>NC_000017.11:26721376-26735204 GCF_000001405.40 Homo sapiens
ATAGTCTTGATAAAAGAAAACATATTAGGATAATTCACACCCCCGTGCTCCAAACCTTACGGCAAAGCATCAGTAATCAAGACAACAAAATACTGATGAAGGAAAAATATATAGATTGATGGAAGAGAATTGAGAGTCCATATATAAAACTATGTATCTATAGTCAATGGATTCTTAAAGTGGTGCCATGTGCAATTCAATGAGGAAGAGACAGTCTTTGAACAAACTGGGTCAACAACGTACACGTGGATCGCCACTTGCAAAATAGTAAATTGGAACCCTTACCCCAAAGCATACAAAAATATTAACTCAAACGAATTAAAGACATACATGCAAGAGCTAGAATAAAGTATATGGGAAAATCTTCAGGATTTTGGATCTAGCAAAGAAATAGCTGTAACACCAAAAACATGAGCAACAAAATAAAAATTAGATATTTAAAATTTCTTAAAAATTAAAGACATTGGTGATTCAAAGGACAACCAACCATGTCAAAAGGCAGCTCAAAAATTGTGAGAAAATATTTGAAAAACACATATCTATATATCTGCATATATATGTATCTTGAATATAGAAAAATTGTTTTAACTCATTAACAAAAATCCCAACTCAAAACTGATAAATGATAGGAATAGATGTGTATCCCAAGAAGATGCACGAACGGTCAATAATCCCATAAAAAGATACTCAACAGCATCACTCATCAGGCAACTACAAATCAAAACCACAGTTAGATACTCTATGGCTAGAACTGGCCACTTTGGAAAATAAGTTGATGGCTTCTAAATATATTAAACATAGAATTGTCATATGACCCAGAAATTTATTCCCAGGTATACCACCAGAGTATTGGAAAGAGATGTTCAAACACAAATTGTACACAAGTATTTTAACAGCAGTATTTAAAATAGCCAAAGGCTGAACACAACTCAAATGTCAATAAAAATATTATTGGATAAACAAAATGTTATATCCATGAAATTGAATGTTATACAGTTATAAAAAGAAATAAAGTACCAATACGCATATGAACCTTGATAGCATTATGCCAACTGAAAGAAGCCAGGCACAAAAGGCCACCTATTGTATGATTCTATTTAGATGAAAATATAATAGGAAAATCTACAGAGACAGAAAACAGATTTGTGGTTGCTTAGAATTGAGTAGGGGATGAGTGCATAGGAGGTTAACAGCTAGAGAAGGTGGGGTTTCTTTTTGAAGTGATGAAAATGCTCTAATATTCATTGTGATGATGGCTCCACTTATCTGTGTATATACTAAAAGCCATTGACTTGTAGACATTAATATGTGCACTCTACAGTATGTAAATTATATCTCAATAAATCCTTTCAAAAATACACAGAAGACTAAGGGATTTTGGACTGTTGCAGCTGGGAGGCAGTTTGAAATACTGAATCGGTCTCATCGAGAATGTGAGGTTTCAGTAAAGACTTGAGGAAGTTGAATGAGCTGATCAATGGATATATGGAGGGTTATCTTTCCAAGCCAAGAAATTAACTAGAGTCTTGGTCATAAGACAGCAGCATGTTTGCATGTCCAGAGGACAGTGAGGTGGTCAGGACCACTGGTAAGATCAAGGGTGAAGACATAAAAGAATTTTGGCGGTTAACATGTGGCAGATCATGATGGGCTTGCAGACCATTGTACGAATTGTGTCTTTTAGTGTAAATGAAATGGGGAGACAAATCATTACCCCATTATCAATATTTTAATAAATTGGATCCATGAACCAAATACAATGAGATTAAATCAATTAGTAATAATATGCAAATTTGTATTAAAATTACAAGAATTCCTTGCACATTTGAGAACAGGAGAGTCATGATTGTTTATCAGCAATAATAAACTATTAATTTTAATTGTAATCAGCTAATTGAGATTATTGCAATACATCATTCTTTATAATGTGACTGTCAAAAGGAAAATGTGATTGTAATCTTATACTACATCTATCAATGTCTTTGATTCATAGGACTATAGAATAAGCCCCTAGTTTTCAAAGCCAACTGATGAGGCAGCGACATCTTATGCAAGTTTGCTGCTTTCTGCCACAGTGATCCTTGGTCAGCTGGCACAAATTGTTTTACAAACACCACTAGGTCTAAAAATGTTTGGATCACAATGAACACAGAAACACCTTCATCCCTTCAGAAAGACCTATCAATTATTCCAATACAGAATGAAAAATTGACAACGGAAGTATGTTGATTGTAAAAATGCCAGATAGCTTGCATCTACATGAAAGAAAAATGCCATTTTTATTACAATAGATCATTGTTTTACATGAGTTTTGGTATAGCACAATGTTGAACCAAGGGCAAAGAAAGATGAGTTAATGAAGTCTTAAGATATCAAGAATTTGAAAGAAAAGGAAGGTCATCTTTCAAGGTTAGTGACATAGCATTCATCTTCTGTTGTCACCTTTTCTGTCATTCCCTGTATGCCTGATGGACAGCTTTCACTCAAGTTCAGAGTACAGCATGCAAAGATTAGCTACCAACTAATTTTTATGAAGTGAGCTTAATTTCTAGCCAGACTGAGCTTATGTTTTAGCAGGAAGCATTTTTGGGAAATGTTTATATTAGAGTTTTCCCTTCTTGACAAGGTGAGACATAAATGTCTACTTTATAGACATGAATTAAGATGTGAAGATATTTGGGAGAAACATTTTCTCAAATGCTAAATAACAAAGGTACACAAAGGGGAAATTATACTAGATTTATTTCCCACTTGTTTTCTATGTCTCATCCAATTCACCTTGATTCTCTTCAGTTTCTGTTTAATGTAGAAAGTGGCATTTTCATTATTTTAAGCTTCTAGCACAATGAAAGAATTTCTCTTTTTCATGAACTGCATCATAAATGAAAGGGAGGAAGAGTGTCCAATACCATATTTATTGTTCAACAAAACACTGCTCCACGGCTTAAATTCAGTTTAAAAAAGATAATTTATTGAATATCTAACACATACATAAAAGGCAGTAAAGACAAATGAGAAGAGGGCAGGATATTGAAGTATACAGATTTTAATGCTGAGTTTTGTTTCTTAGTAAGTTACTGCACCTTACAGAGACTCAATATCCCCTGATTTAAGAAGGCGATGCTAATGGGTATTGCATAGGTGTAAGTATAAAAATGTTGTATTTAAGAGAATCCCACAAGCTTGGTATAAGGCAGAAAATAAATAGATGTGACATTAATGAGTAGTTTGTTACATTTGTATGCTACCTGCAGACTAGAGGAAGCAAGAAACACAGCCACTATGCTTGATTAGCATTATATTCTAATTTGGGATATAAATAGAAAAGAGAAAAATAGAAAGCTATGCATAAACACATGCATTAAAATGAATTTTATGTGGACTCTTTCAGGAAAATGTTCCTAAGTTATTTTTTTTTTATTGTGGTAAAATACACATAACATAAAAAGTACTCTGTTAACCATTTTAAGTGTACAGTTCAGTGGTATTAAATAGAGTCATAACATTGTGCAGCCATCCCTACCATCCATCTCCATAACTCGTTTCATCTTGTGAAACTGAAACTCTATACCCATTAAACAGTACTTCCCCATGTCTTCCTCCCCCCAGCTTCTGGCAATCATCATTGTACTATCTATATGATTCTGTCCACTTTAAGTCTCTTATACAAATGGAATTATACTGTATTTGTCCTTCACTGACTAACTTATTTCACTTGGCATAATATCCTCAAGTTTCATCCAAGTTGCAACATATGTCAGAATATTTCCCTCATGTTTAAGGCTGAATAATATTCCATTGTATGTATACATCATGTTTTGCTTATCCATTCATCTGTTGTTGGACACTTCAATTGCTTCTACGTTTTAGCTACTGCAAATAATGCTGCTGCAAACATGGATGTGCAAATATTTTTTCAAGACTCTGCTTTCAATTCTTTTGCTATCTTGAGATGTGGGGCTGCCGAATCATAAGGCAATACCATTTTGATGTTTTGAGGAACTACCATACTCTTTTCCACAGCAAACATAGGGTTTGGCATCCCCTCCAATATTGCAAAAGGAATTGCCACATCCTTGCCTGTGGATTTTATTCACAAGTCCTGTGGCTCTCTCTACATCCCGGCCACCATGTGTTATTTCCTGTTTATATATATGACATCAAAGGTGCAGGAAGTAATGAACTAAATTGGAAGGATAAACACGTAGAAAAATCGAGGTAAATACTGACTACATAAAACCATAAGAATAAGAATTTTGGATGATCTATCTATTATATATCTATTTATCTAACATCTATCTGTTCCTCCATCTGTAATTAAAATATATTAGTTAGAGAACAGAGGAAAAAGTAGGAATACATGAATTTAAATTTTAATTCTTCTTAGATTGTCTCACAGCATCATTATATGACAGAAAATTTATAGGTCAGTATCTGTTAACTATAAATGTTACATTTTTAAACTATTCAAATATATTGAATTACAGCATGAATAATATATTACAATCCATTCAAGTTTATTTTTTTCCAGGAACACAAAAATACAAATTTCATTTGCAATTCAAGAAAAACAGAAATGGATACATATGATTGATGTATATACACATTTAATGTATTTTTAAATATACATTTTTAAAAAATAAAATGTTTCCAGGACATAAAATTTTCTAGAAATAAAATTTTCTAGGACAACTACTTAAAATATCACTGAAAATAGTGTAATACCAAATAACTCTGGTATTACATAAGAAAACAAAATTAAAATTTCAGATAAGCTTAGAAACTAAAAATTTTAAAAATATTATTCTGTTCTCCATATGTTCATATTTAATTTTATTTCTTTTCATTTTTCTTCAGTGTTGCTCTACTAAAATATAACATACAATAGTTACTTTTGATTTCTGTTCTTATTACTCAAAACTGTATACATTTTCTCATGCTCTTAATTTAGCTATGCTACTTTTCTTTACTCTTGGAATTTTCTCATTCGTGTTCACTCTCTTTTGAGTTCCCATAGTATCAAATAAGCTTTTTTCCCTCTTTCTAATTTGAAGGTTCATCTTCTCATAATTATTTTGTCCACTCAGTTTCTTTTCATTCTCAGTTAAGTGCCTCTCATCTGGCTTCTTTTCATTTGTAAGGTTTCCTTTCATCTCAAGCCAGTCTTTTATTTATATTTTGATTCTGTTTTCTGGAGGACATGCTTCCCTGAATTTTAAGGAAGAGGCCAAAAGGTTTGTTCAAGTTTTTACCTGATACATTGGATTAAATTATCTAATGTACACACTCTTAATTTAAGTCTAGGGGCGACTGTCTACTCTTGATTTTGTATAGTATTATTTTTCTTAACATCCAAGTCCATCTTCATCTATTTGTATATGATCAATAAAAATATATTTGTCCAGAACCCTGCTTTGGTGGAGTTACTTCTTTCTAAGTAGGAGAGGTAGCAGTTGAGACATGAGCTGGGTTCTGGGTCAGTTTAGAGGGCTGGGCGACATTCCTCCTTTTGGTCTGTATGACTGAATGAATGAGGTTCTTGCTGTCTCGCTCCTCTCCTTAACACATTGAGCCATTGCAGCAGATGAGAAGGAATAATCCTGATCTGCCATTCAGGTGGAACACTTGTTCTCTCCAAACACATCCATAGGTTGTACTCACATTCGGCCAGAATGTATCCTGTCAATGATATGGAGATGTATCTAGCTATCTAGATAGATATCTACTTTGGTTTATGCTCTCTGATTGTCCGTAAATTATCTCCTTAAAGTGAATATCAAAAGAGAGCTTGGTGATGGCAGTGTTATAAAATCCTCAAAATGCAGCACCCACACCCAGAGGAATTTGTAGTTTCTGGGATTCTAATTCAGATACCAAACTATATAAAAGGGGCATTGGTCATTGAGGGTTGCTAGGCTCTTTTTTGAGCATAATTGTTCTTTCCAAGACTTTGAAATTATTTTAAAAGTCTAACCTTTTCCTCGGTATGCTGCAAGATGATTTGATTTTAATGCACAAGCACTAATTCTCCCCTAAGATTTGTACAATATATTTGCTTTGACAAGCCATAGCCAGCAACTCACTTCACAGCAATTTATAGCATTTCCACAACAAGTTGAATTATTTTTAACTAGACTCTCTTTGCCTTAATAAAAATATGAAGAAGCAATCTACTTGTTCTAATTAGGTTCAAAAGTTGACAGTCTCTCTCCTGGAAAGAATAATAAAACTTTTCAACGGCCTAATATGCATCTATAGACACACACACACACACACACGCAGGCACTGTTCATAAAACTTAAAGCACATTCTGTTCTATGAATTCCTTTGTCTAGCACAAAATAAAACGATCTCAGTATATGTCAAGTACCAATTTTTTCGTATGGCCAATTATAGGTATTTTATTTTTTAAAGATTAGAGTGTTCTTGAAGCTCTTTCTATTTCTTTGTCAATGAACTAAACATTGACAGATATGTAGGTTTTCCCACATAAGAACATTATTAACATCAAAATAGAAAGCTGGCGGTAGAAATAATGATTGGGAACACAGAGTCCCTACTCAGCGTTCTACTTCTGCCATACCATAACTTTGTGATCTCACGAAATATCACTCCATGTTGTCATCCCTATGTATAGTTCTGTCATTTTTCAATAAGAGCTTTTTGCTTAATTATGAAGTACTAGTTACTATAACCATTATTTTGAGCTTCATGTAAATCAAGAACACATGGACTCCACTTGCAAAACATTGAAAATGTAGTTAGGGATTGGGGACACAAAGCAACATTTTAAAATGTGTAAAGACAATGAGTAAGCAACAAAGTGTCCAATTTTTTAGGCGAAAGTTGCATACGTCAGGAAAAAGCAGGATTAAGTAACAGAGAATTTGAATGATAACTGGCCATTGGTGTCGTTTACAATTGCAAGTCATAAAAATGAAGTTTGCTTTTTTAAAGAGAAAAGGAGTTAGTTAGAATGGGTCAACCTATTGGGGAAGCAATGTAGTTAGAGACAATGCCCAAAACCATGTGAGCAAATGCTCTGTAGAGCGCACCCCTGCAATGCTGCCATTGTGAGGCCAACTCTCTCCTTGTCTTGGTACTGAGCCCTCCATTCTGCCTCCATCATTGCCACTGTAGCTGCCACAAAATGATCCCTCAACCACCGCTGCCCAGGAACAAAGAAAGAATTCTGTCCTTCCGTGCTCTCAGATCAATTTCCAACATCAGGTGAGACTTTGATGGGCACTATTCAGTTCCCATATCCCTGAAATAGATGCAGTAAAAACATAGAAATTGCCTATGTGTTTCCCAATAAGACACATATGGAAGCCTGTTTTCCCACAACAGGAAGGGGTTTCCACGACGGGTGTTCAAAGGAACAATAGTCCCTGTAAACCATACTTTGCCCATATGAAGAAAAGCAATAAGGATTATTTAGTAAATAGACATGGAAACTCATCCAGGGTTGGCTGATGAGAAGCTTTTTAGCAAGGGGGTCTGCCTTCAGTTAGGACAAGGTCTGTGCTTCCCGCGGGTTCTCTCCACAGCAGGAGGGATGCAAGCTTCCCTTTCCTCCCCTGCACCTACCCTCAAATGGCCTAGAGGTCTTCAGGTGCTAGAATTTCTCAATTAATGCTGCACAAAATAACAGACAGCCTTGACAGTCACAGTCTGTTCTCATGAAGCTAGTCTCTGCTTACTACATAAAAGAGAAGAGTAAGAACAATGGTGGTAAACACTACCCTAGCTCAAAAAAGTTTCTCTCTGTAGGATGCCAAGAACCTGGGAACCAGTACATCTGCTGCTTTCCCTTCTCGGATTCTAGCCCAGACAAAAGAGGCAAGGGGCATTTCTTCAGAGGTCTTGAGCTTCACTACACAATGCCCCAGGCACTACATGCACCCTCTTTATATATTTCTACCTTGAAAACAATTTTATATAATATTAATAATATATATTTTTATATAAGGAACACATATGTTTATTTTATAGATAGATATAGATTTTCATAGATAAAGATCTCTAGTCTGCCTTTTTTAAGGCTGGGCTGATCGCGGTGCCTCAAAACTATAATCCCAGCACTTTGGGAGGCCAAGGTGGCCAGATCTCTTGAGTCCAGGAGATGGAGATCAGCCAGGGCAACATGGTGAAACCCCATCTTTACAAAAATTAGCTAGCATGGTGTCATGTACTTGCAGTCCCTGCTACTCAGGAGACTGAGGTGAAAGAATCGCTTGAGCACAGTATGTGAAGGCTTCAGTGAGGTCTGATCACATGACTGCACTCCATCTTGGGTGACAAAGTGAGACCCTGTCTCAAAATAAAATAAAATAAAAAGGCTACCACCATACTCACAGATAAGTGTGTCAGGTATATTTGCAGCTATCTTTCCTATATTCTATTAGGTAAAAAAAAAATTGCAAAGAACTCTTCTCATTCTAGATTTTTGTTTTAATTAGACATTTGAAGTTTATAGCAGAAGAGCTATAATCATGTTTTGTGTGTGTACTCTATAGACCAGATAGTGCAAACATATATCAATGCTTTCTAAAAGTATATAAGGTTATTAGAAATATTTTAAACTACCTATAGGTATATATGTATCTAATTGAACTATCAAATGCAAGTAAGATCATTTCCTTAGCGTGTGAAATGCACTCAATTTATTAAAATATTTTCTAATGTCTATTACAATAATATTTCTTAATTAGCTAACATAAGAGGAGTTTTAAGACATTTATTTATATGTACTTACTAGATTCAAACTCGATTCCACTATTTTCAGAAATCATGCTCCGAGACAAGTCCTTTTTTTAATCCATGTTTCTTCCTGTATTAAAAGACAGATATGTCAATTTTGCTAATCATACTGTTCCAAACCTCTCCATCTTATTTTTCCGTTTGTTCTACCAGTCATTCAGAGACTTACTTATATTCAAATTTCTCTCTAGTTTTAACATTTGTGTATGTCTTCTTGTGTTTTTGTCTATTTTTGCTGTATATAATTTAAGACATTTATTGACATATATCATACATGCAGAAAAGTACAATGATTAAATATGGATAGCTTCATTAATGAAACACATGTATTTGCTTAGAACCATGTATGAAAATAGAACATTACTAAAAATAGAGATACTTCTCCTGCCCCTTTCCAAACACTAACCCTCATCCTCAATAGTAACAGATTTTTTTTATCATACAGTAATTTGGTCTATTTTCAAATTTTTATTAAATAAATCAGAGTATCTACTCCAAGTCTATGTTTCTTTCATTGTTGTTATTTTTCTTATAGTATTTATCTGCTAATGGACATGGTAGATTAAAGACGGCTACATACACATTTTTTAATTAATAGATTTTTTGAGCACTTTGTGGCTCATGCCTCTAATCCCACCACTTTGGGAGGCTGAGGTGCGTGGATCATGAGGTCAGGAGATCGAGACCATCCTGGCCAACGTGGTAAAACCCCTTCTCTACTAAAATACAAAAAATTAGCTGATAGATAACATCAAGATAACATCTTTGTTCTTAGCTGCACTGAGTCAAGCCTACTTACATCTTTGTTTGTCTTCCTCTGCACTTTTCCTTCCACATCACACTCCAGGAATGTCAAGCTGTGCTGCCTTCTACCCCATTTCCACTATTTCGCCCCCGCCGACGCGGCTTTTTGCCGCCATGGATTTTTGACCACGCCGCTGCGGGTTTTTGCCGCTTTATGCCTCCGCCGCCGCGACTTTTTGCCCCCGCCGCCTTTGCTTTCTGCCCCCAAGGCTGCGACTTTTTACGGCTTTTTGCCCCCGTCACCGCAGCTTTTTGCCCCCGCCGCCGCCGCAGCTTTTTGTCGCCGCGGCTGTTTGCCTCCGCCACAGTGGCTTGTTGCCCCCGCCGCCGTGGCTTGTTGCCCCCGTCGCCCCGGCTTTTTCCCCCACTGCCCCGGCTTTTTAACTCTACCGTTGCGGCTTTTTGCGCCCGCCACCGCGGCTTTTTGCGGTTTTTTGCCCCCGCCGCGGCTGTTTTCCCCCGCCCTCGCGGCTTTTTGCCCCCATCACCGCGGCTTTTTCCCCGCGGCCGTGGCTTTTTGCCGACGCGGCTTTTTACTCCCGCCGCCGCAGGTTTTTACCGCTGCGGCTTTTTCACCCCGCCGTCGCGGGTTATTGCCCCCATCGCCGTGGCTTTTTGCCCCCACCGCCGCGGGTCTGAGGGCGGGATCGGCAGACTCGGCTGCCAGGTCTACCAGAGTCCTGGCTAGGGCACCGCGGAGGGTAACACCTGGTCCAGCTCTCCCGGTTCGGGGGTTCCTTGCCTAGACACCAGCGCCCCAAGCTCTGCTCCTGGGCCGCTGCAGCCTGCATAGAGCGGCGCTGCGCTCGGCCCCGATGGGAGAGAAGAAGGAGAGCGGTGGCTGGGGTGACGCGGCTATCGCAGAGGGAGGCTCACGGGCCGCGGCCAGCCAGGTGCTGCAGCAGTGCGGGCAGCTCCAGAAGCTCATCAGCATCTCTGTTGGCAGCCTGCGCGGGCTGCGCACCATGTGCGCTGTGTCCAAGGACCTCACCCAGCAGGAGATACGGACCATGGAGGTAAGGGGGTCAGGGACAAGGGCTGGGCTCCCGCACCGGACTGGACATCTCCCTCGGGGCCCCAGTTCACTCCTGGCCGAGTTGCGTCCTTGAGCCCGCGTCGCCTCCCTGGAGGCTTCTCCTCCATCCTGCACTCGCTGATGCGGCAGCCAGAGGACCCGGGACCAGCCCTCACCTTGGGCAGGATTTGTGGGGCGGGTGCGTGTTGGGAACTGTGATGGAGGCTCGAGGGGCCCGTGGGCGGGGTGGGCTGTGCGCATAAGGGGATGCCCTTATGCCCCGAATTTCCATCTCGTGCAGCGTTCTCATCTTGTAGGTGAGGAAACCGAAGGCCTGAGGGAGAAATGACTTGCCAGGAACCCCTGTTAAGGAAAATTAACAAAGTGTGGTTATTAAAGAAGAACTGAGTTCGGATTCAGACCTGGAGTCCCACATCCTTGGTTAAGACATTATACCACTTTGAGTCTGGCCTGTTAACTGAGGTTGAGCCACTCCATCCTCGTCTTATTGTGGGGTCCTGACCTCAAGGGGTTTCCTGCAGGAAGAAGCAAATGGGTTTGCTTTCCTAGCTCTGTCCAGTACCTTAGGGACCCTGAGAACTGGAGAGATTCTTGGAGAGCCATCTGGTGTATGTCATGGGTGGGCCTTGTTTGAAGGTCAGTCTGCCCAGTGGGCTGGCTCAGCCCGAATGAACTCCCTTGAATCTTTGGAGTTGTCTGTGTACTTTTAAGGGTTTCTCATCTTTGCACCAAAAGATCCCCTGGAAATTAGGTGGGAAAATCTTAACTTTTGTGGAGCCTTGTATTTGTTTTAAAAGTTCATGCACATAGCCAGGTGTGGTGGCTCCCACCTGTTATCCTGTCCTGGATCCCTTGAGTCAAGGAGTTTGAGACCAACCTGGACAATATAGTGAGACCCCATCTGTACAAAAAATAAAATATTAGCCAGGAGTGGTTGTGCGCATCTGTAGTCCTACCTACTACTGTGGCTGAGGTGGGAGGAGCACTTGAGCCTGCACTGAGCTGTGATCTCACCAGTGTATTCCACCCTGGGCCACAGAGCAACACCTTGACTCAAAAGAAAAAAAAAACAAGAAAAATTCTTGAAGATTTTTCATTCTGTCCCACTATCCATTGGTTTTCATGTCAAGATAATGTCAGAAATTCTTTACAATTGCTTCCAGAAGGAGTAGCCTTTTGATCTAGTGCACAGATGTCCAGTGTTTTGGCTTCTCAGGGCCACATTGGAAGAAGAATGCTCCTGGGCCACAGATAAAATACACTACTGCTAACGATAGCTGATGAACTTAAAAAAAAAAAAAAGGTTTGTGCATAATTTTCATGATACCCACCACCACAGATAGGCGGAAAAGTCCTTGTAGTCAAAGGGTTGGACATGGCTGGTCTAGTGTCTTGTCGTCCGTTTTGGCTTTCTCCCTGACTCCAGAATGCAGGTGGAGATGTAGAGACATGATCTCAGGACAGCTGTTGAGATAAAAAAAATTCGTTGTCATTTATTCCCAAGCACAGCTTTTTTCCATTTGCATTGAAAAAGTCTCCATTCAAACTGCTGTCACATATAAAATCTATTTATATGCCTGTATTTTTCTGTTGTCTTGGCCTTTGTGGGCAGTAGTGTGTTTTAACTGAGCAAACTGTCCTTCCAAATAATGAAGCTGAAGTCAGCCTACCTGCTTGCCACTTTTCTTCCCCTTCCATTTTTCTAACCTCAGGATAATTGTAAGAATGAATTAAGATTTGTGTTTAAGGCCGGGCACAGTGTCTCAGGCCTGTAATCTCAGCACTTTGGGAGGCGGAGATGGATGTATCATTTGATCTCAGGAGTTGAAGACCAGCCTGGGCAACATACTGAGACTCTGTCTTGTATAATTAAATTAAAATTTAAAAAAAGGAGAGAAAAGGACCTGTGTTTAAAATTTAAAATAAGGGGGGAAGGTGTAATGCAAAATGTGGACTATGCTAGCTATGATTGGGAAAAATAATTTTTCATACAGCATTATCTGTTGACTTGTATTAGCAGCATACTGGTCATAAGCGTTTTGCTTTCATCAAATATGATAAGGTAAGCTACTTTAAAGTGTGGTGGGGCTTTCTTCTGCATGGCTCCTGGAGGTGTTGAGTCCCAATTTAGCCAATTAATTTGGGTTTAGTTTTGATATGGATAAGGGAGACTGGCTTCATTCATGATGCACACACAGTTTTGCCAATAAGGAAAAAAAAAGCAACCTGAATGTTCCTACTCATTAGATGCTATCTGGAGAGCTCCTATCCCACAGCCACAAAGGCCCTGGCCCTTAAAAAGACTCAATGCAGCCTTTCTGCATCTCATACTGTATTCTGCAAGATGCTCCTGTGAAAGAAAGTTGTGCTGCATCAGCCATCTCCCTCCTGAAGATCCCTGTGGCTGAGGATTTGTGTTTTGAAGGTTCTCAGAAGTCCTGCAACAGTTCTCAAACTTATTTGTCCAGGGGATCTTTTCTTTCACTGAATGTAGTTGGGGAGACATAGCCTTAAGCCATGAGCAGAGAAAGAGACAAGAAACTGTTGGCTCACTTACAACCAAGTGTTGTGTTTATGTTTTAGGTTTTTATGAAACTGAGGTGCTGTTTGAGGTGCTGAATCAAATTGGGTGGTTGAAGAGAGGCTGGTATCCCTGTAGACTTAGCCAGCCATGAGAGGTTGAGTTTTGTTGAAGGAGGTGTTTTACAAAGGGAAATAGGGTGTTTCCTGGGCATCACATTAGCACTTAAATACATGTATCACTGAAATGAAATGAAATGAAATGATGAAATGATGACATGAAATGAAATGAAATGATGAAATGAAATGAAATGATGAAATGAAATGATAAAATGATGAAATGAAATGATGAGATGAAATGAAATGGTGAAATGATGAAATGAAATGCTGAAATGAAATGAAATGATGAAATGAAATGATGAGATTAAATGAAATGATGAAATGATGAAATGGAATGATGAAATGAAATGATGAAATGATGAAATGGTGCAATGAAATGAGGAAATGAAATGAAATGCTGAAATGAAATGATGATGTGAAATGGTGAAAAGAAACGAAATGATGAAATGATGAAATGAAGAAATGGTGGGAAATGATGAAATGAAATGATGAAATGAAGTGAAATGATGAAATGATGAAATAATGAAATGAGGGCTGGAGCCAAGACTGGCCGAATAGGAGCAGCTCCAGTCTACAGCTCCCAGC
>NC_000017.11:26735774-26805755 GCF_000001405.40 Homo sapiens
GACACAGAAGACGGGTGATTTCTGCATTTCTATCTGAGGTACCAGGTTCATCTCACTAAGGGAGTGCCAAACAGTGGGTGCAGGACAGTGGGTGCAGCCCACCGTGTGGGAGCCAAAGCAGGGCGAGGCATTGCCTCACTCAGGAAGCACAAGGGGTCAGGAAGTTCCCTTTCCTAGTCAAAGAACGGGGTGACAGATGGCACCTGGAAAATCGGGTCACTCTCACCCTAATACTGCACTTTTCCAACAGGCTTGGAAAACGGCACACCAGGAGATTGTGTCCCGCACCTGGCTCAGAGGGTCTTATGCCAATGGAGTCTTGCTGATTGCTAGCACGGCACTCTGAGATCAAACTGCAAGGCGGCAGCAAGGCTGGGGGAGTGGGGCCCGCCATTGCCCTGTCTTTCTTAGGTAAACAAAGCAGCCAGGCAGCTGGAACTGGGTGGAGCTCACAAAAGCTCCAGGAGGCCTGCCTGCCTCTGTAGGCTCCACCTCTGGGGGCAGGGCACAGACACACAAAAAGTCAGCAGTAACCTCTGCAGACTTAAATGTCCCTGTCTGACAGCTTTGAAGAGAGTAGTGGTTCTCCCAGCACACAACTGGAGATCTGAGACTGGGCAGACTGACTCCTAAAGTGGGTCACTGAACCCCGAACAGCCTAACTGGGAGGCACCCCCCTGTAGGGACAGACTGACACCTCACTCGGCCAGGTAGTCCTCTGAGACCAAACTTCCAGAGGAATGATCAGACAGCTGAATTTGTGGTTCATGAAAATCTGCTGTTCTGCAGCCACCGCTGCTGATACCCAGGCAAACAGGGTCTGGTGTGGACCTCTAGTAAACTCCAACAGACCTGCAGCTGAGGGTCCTGTCTGTTAGAAGCAAAACCAACAAACAGAAAGGACACCCACACCAAAAACCCATCTGTACATCAACATCATCAAAGACCAAAAGTTGATAAAACCACAAAGATGGGGAGAAAACAGAGCAGAAAAACTGGAAACTCTAAAAAACAGAGTGCCTCTCCTTCTCCAAAGGAACGCAGTTCCTCGCCAGCAACGGAACAAAACTGGACAGAGAATAACTTTGACGATTTGAGAGAAGAAGGCTTCAGAGGATCAAACTACTGCAAGCTACAGGAGGAAATTCCAACCAATAGCAAAGAAGTTAAAAACTTTGAAAAACAATTAGACGAATGTATAACTGGAATAACCAATGCAGAGAAATGCTTTAAGGATCTGATGGAGGTGAAAGCCAAGTTTTGAGTACTACGTGAAGAAGGAAGAAGCCTCAGGAGCCGATGCAACCAACTGGAAGAAAGGGTATCAGTGATGGAAGATGAAATGAATGAAATGAAGGGAGAAGGGAAGTTTAGAGAAAAAAGAATAAAAAGAAACGAACAACGCCTCCAGGAATTATGGGACTATGTGAAAAGACCAAACCTACGTCTGATTGGTGTACCTGAAAGTGACAGGGAGAATGGAACTAAGTTGGAAAACACTCTGCAAGATATTATCCAGGAGGACTTCCCCAATCTAGCAAGGTAGGCCAACATTCAGATTCAGGAAACACAGAGAACGCCACAAAGATACTCCTCAAGACGAGAAACTCCAAGACACATAATTGTCAAATTCACCAAAGTTGAAATGACGGAAAAAATGTTAAGGGCAGCCAGAGAGAAAGTTCGGGTTACCCACAAAGGGAAGCCCATCAGACTAACAGCTGATCTCTCGGCAGAAACTCTTCAAGCCAGAAGAGAGTGGGGGCCAATATTCAACATTCTGAAAGAAAATAATTTTCAACCCAGAATTTCATATCCAGCCAAACTAAGCTTCATAAGTGAAGGAGAAATAAAATACTTTACAGACAAGCAAATGCTGAGAGATTTGCTTGCCCTAAAAGAGCTCCTGAAGGGTGCACTAAACATGGAAAGGAACAACTGGTACCAGCCACTGCAAAAACATGCCAAATTGTAAAGACCATTGAGACTAGGAAAAAACTGCATCAACTAACGAGCAAAATAACCAGCTAACATCATAATGACAGGATCAAATTAACACATAACAATATTAACTTTAAATGTAAATGGGCTAAATGCTCCAATTAAAAGACACAGACTGGCAAATTGGATAAGGAGACAAGACCCATCAGTGTGCTGTATTCAGGAAACCCATCTCACGTGCAGAGACACACATAGACTCAAAATAAAGGGATGGAGGAAGATCTACCAAGCAAATGGAAAACAAAAAAAGGCAGGGGTTGCAATCCTAGTCTGTGATAAAATAGACTTTAAACCAACAAAGATCAAAAGAGACAAAGAAGGTCTTTACATAATGGTAAAGGGATCAATTCAACAAGAAGAGCTAACTATCCTAAATATACATGAACCCAATACAGGAGCACCCAGATTCATGAAGCAAGTCCTGAGTGACCTACAAAGAGACTTAGACTCCCCCACAGTCATAATGGGAGATTTTAACATGCCACTGTCAACATTAGACAGATCAATGAGACAGAAAGTTAACAAGGACACCCAGGAATTGAACCCAGCTCTGCACCAAGCACACCTAATAGACATCTACGGAACTCTCCACCCCAAATCAAGAGAATATACATTTTTTTCAGCACCACTTCACACCCATTCCAAACTTGATCACATAGTTGGAAGTAAAGCTCTCCTCAGCAAACGTAAAAGAACAGAAATTATAACAAACTGTGTCTGAGACCACAGTGCAATCAAACTAGAACTCAGGAATAAGAAACTCACTGAAAACCGCTCAACTACATGGAAAATGAACAACCTGCTCCGGAATGACCACTGGGTACATAACAAAATGAACGCAGAAATAAAGATGTTCTTTGAAACCAACAAGAACAAAGACAAAACATACCAGAATCTCTGGGACACACTCAAAGCAGTGTGTAGAGGGAAATTTATAGCACTAAATGCCCACAAGAGAAAGCAGGAAAGATTCAAAATTGACACCCTAACATCACAATTAAAAGAACTTGAAAAGCAAGAGCAAACACATTCAAAAGCTAGCAGAAGGCAAGAAATAACTAAAATCAGAGCCGAACTGAAGGAAATAGAGACACAAAAAACCCTCCAAAAAATTAATGAATCCAGGAGCTGGTTTTTTGAAAAGATCAAAAAAATTGATAGACCACTAGCAGGACTAATAAAGAAGAAAAGAGAGAAGAATCAAATAGACGTAACAAAAAATGATAAAGGGGTTATCACCACTGATCCCACAGAAATACAATCTACCATCACAGAAAACTACAAACACCTCCATGCAAATAAACTAGAAAATCTAGAAGAAATGGATAAATTCCTCGACACATACACTCTCCCAAGACTAAACCAGGAAGAAGTTGAATCTCTGAATAGACCAATAACAGGCTCTGAAACTGTGGCAATAATCAATAGCTTACCAACCAAAAAGAGTCCAGGACCAGATGGATTCACAGCAGAATTCTACCAGAGGTACAAGGAGGAACTGGTACCATTCCTTCTGAAACTATTCCAATCAATAGAAAAATAAGGATTCCTCTCAACTAATTTTATGAGGCCAGCATCATCCTGATACCAAAGCCGGGCAGAGACACAACAAAAAAAGAGAATTTTAGACCAATACCCTTCATGAACATTGATGCAAAAATCCTCAATAAAATACTGGCAAACTAAATCCAGCAGCACATCAAAAAGCTTATCCACCATGATCAAGTGGGCTTCATCCCTGGGATGCAAGGCTGGTTCAACATATGCAAATCAATAAACGTAATCCAGCATATAAACCTAACCAAGAACAAAAACCACATGATTATCTCAAGAGATGAAGAAAGGGCCTTTGACAAAATTCAACAGCCCTTAATGCTAAAAATTCTCAATAAATTAGGTATTGATGGGACGTATCTCAAAATAATAAGAGCTATCTATGAAAAACCCACAGCCAATATCATACTGAATGGGCAAAAACTGGAAGCATTCCTTTTGAAAACTGGCACATGACAGGGATGTCCTCTTTCACCACTCCTATTCAACATAGTGTTGGAAGTTCTGGCCAGGGCAATCAGGCAGGAGAAAGAAACAAAGGGTATTCAATTAGGAAAAGAGGAACTCAAATTGTCCCCGTTTGCAGATGACATGGTTGTATATCTAGAAAACCCCATTGTCTCAGCCCAAAATCTCCTTAAGCTGATAAGCAACTTCAGCAAAGTCTCAGGATACAAAATCAATGTACAAAAATCACAAGCATTCTTGTACACCAATAACAGACAAACAGAGTGCCCAATCATGAGGGAACTCCCATTCACAATTGCTTCAAACAGAATAAAATACCTAGGAACCCAACTTACAAGGGACATGATAGACATCTTCAAGGAGAACTGCAAACCACTGCTCAAGGAAATAAAAGAGGATACAAACAAATGGAAGAACATTCCATGCTCTTGGGTTGGAAGAATCAATATCGTGAAAATGGCCATACTGCCCAAGGTAATTTATAGATTCAATGCCATCCCCATCAAACTACCAATGACTTTCTTCACAGAATTCGAAAAAACGACTTTAAAGTACATATGGAACCAAAAAAGAGCCCACATCACCAAGTCAATCCTAAGCCAAAAGAACAAAGCTGGAGGCATCACGCTACCTGACTTCAAACTATACTACAAGGCTACAGTAACCAAAACAGCATGGTACTGGTACCAAAACACAGACACAGATCAATGGAACAGGACAGAGCCCGCAGAAATAATGCCGCATAGCTACAACTGTCTGATCTTTGACAAACCTGACAAAAACAAGCAATGGGGAAAGGATTCCCTATTTAATAAATGGTGCTGGGAAAACTGGCTAGCCATATGTAGAAAGCTGAAACTGGATCCCTTCCTTACACCTTATACAAAAATTAATTCAAGTTGGATCAAAGACTTACATGTTAGACCTAAAATCATAAAAACCCTAGAAGAAAACCTAGGCAATACCATTCAGGACATAGGCCTGGGCAAGGACTTCATGTCTAAAACACAAAAAGCAATGGGAACAAAAGCCAAAATTGACAAATGGGATCTAATTAAACTAAAGAGCTTCTGCACAGCAAAAGAAACTACCATCAGAGTGAACAGGCAACCTACAAAATGGGAGAAAATTTTTGTAACCTACTCATCTGACAAAGGGCTAATAACTAGAATCTACAATGAACTCAAACAAATTTACAATTAAAACACAAACAACCCCATCAAAAAGTGGTTGAAGGACACGAACAGACACTTCTCAAAAGAAGACATTTATGCAGCCAAAAAACACATGAAAAAATGCTCATCATCACTGGCCACCAGAGAAATGCAATTCAAAACCACAATGAGATACCATCTCACACCAGTTAGAATGGCGATCATTAAAAAGTCAGGAAACGGCAGGTGCTGGAGAGGATGTGGAGAAATAGGAACACTTTTACACTGTTGGTGGGACGGTAAACTAGTTCAACTATTGTGGAAGTCAGTGTGGCGATTCCTCAAGTATCTTGAACTAGAAATACCATGTGACCCAACCATTCCATTACTGGATATATACACAAAGGACTATAAATCATGCTGCAATAAAGACACATGCACACGTATGTTTATTGTGGCAGTACTCACAATAGCAAAGACTTGGAACTATCCCAAATGTCCAACAATGATAGACTGGATTAAGAAAATGTGTCACATATACACCATGGAATACTATGCAGCCACAAAAAATGATGAGTTCTTGTCCTATGTAGGGACATGGATGAAACTGGAAATCATCATTCTCAGTAAACTCTCGCAAGGACAAAAAACCAAACACCACATGTTATCATTCATAGGTGGGTATTGAACAATATGAACACATGGACACATGAAGGGGAACATCACAATTCGGGGACTGTTGTGGGGTGGGGTGAGTGGGGAGGGATAGCATTAGGAGATATACCTAATGCTGAATGACGAGTTAATGGGTGCAGCACACCAACATGACACATGAACACTTATGTTACAAACTTGCACATGGTGCACATGTATCCTAAAACTTAAGGTATAATAATAAAATAAAATAGAATAAAATAACAAAATATACACTAATACAGATTAACCAACCTAAAAAATTGTAGAGAAAGGTCATTTAAAAAATATGAACGACAGAGTAATAATCTAACACGTTGAAATCTAAGAAGGAGAAAACAGCTTGTCTGAACAGCATTTTAAGTGGCAATGTTAGAGGTTTTATCAAAATTGACCAATAATATTAAACGACAGGTTCAGGAGGCTTTTCAAAGCAAAGGAAAACACACACAGAGGACACATCTAGAAACATAATGGGACAATTTCTGAAAAGTAAAAGAAAAATGTAAAGAGCACTTGATAAAAAATTGGGCTAACTACAAAGAGAAAGAGTTGACTGATAACAACTTTCTCAAATGAAACAACGAAAGCCAACAAGTGAGGTACTGATATCTTTCAAGTCCTGAAATAAAATAAGTGCTGACCTAGAACTGTCTGCTTGGTGGACATATCCATCAAAAGCAAAGATACAATAAAGAATTTCTCCCAAGCAGACCTACAGGAAAAGAAATACTAAAGATTATTCTTCAGGTAGAAGAGCCATGATCCCTGATGAAAGTTTGCAGTTAGAAGAACAATTTTTTAATGAAAGAAATAAACATAGAGAGAAATTTAATTGGATATTGGCTGTGTAACAGAATGCTATCTCATAAAGTTTAAAATGTATCTTCCATACAACGGCAGAAGTATATAAGTTGTGAGTTGGATAAATTAATTTTAAAATATTGTCAAGTTTTTTTTTTTTTTTGCAAATAGACAGATGTACCAATTATATCAGACTCTGAATTCAAGAACGCACATTGTATTAAACCAGGTAAAACATAACCAGACCAGATTTTTTAAATGGACTCTCTTAAAGTTTTAATAATTTATATTCATATTTCACATATGTTGAAAGTAAATAATGGAAAAGCATGCAATGCAAATATTAACCAAAATATAGCTTTAGTTGTACTTATATTCACATTTTAAAAGTTGGACACAGTTAAGTCTCAGTGATTTTTTTACACAACGGAGGCAACCTGTGCAGTTATAACTAATATTATATTATGCTCTTGGCCTGATTACAGAAGGGAAAGGGGAGATCATACCAGACAATGGCAGAATGAAGCAACAAGGAGTAGAGTTACAGAACATGATGCTGTAACTGGGACCGGAGTTACACTTTTAGAGTTAAAGAATAGTAAACTGGACAAAATATATGAAACTTTTTTTTTGAAGTACTGAACATCAGGCAGCACAGGACTGTGCTCTGCAAGAGAAGAGAAGGAGCCAGAATGAGTCCTGCTTTATTCCCAGATTCTCCGTGACAGCAGTAGAGAGGAATCCCAGAGAAAGCAGACATTGTCATTGCACTGAGGAACCAGATAAAAATCAAAAAAGGTTAAGCAGCTGGAATGTGTAGTAGAAGAGAACGTTTACAGAAAAAGGAACCAAGAATCAGCCTAAGGATTCTCCCAAGTCCCTAAGCCAAATGTACATAGGATGAAATTCTAAGGAGCTCAGCAAAGGACTCTACCAGGGAGTTGGAAGAAGAACATTTCCCTGGCATCACATGACAGGAAGACACGTTAGCTCTGACCAGCCAGAGAAGGGAATCCCCTCTGTACCTCCAGGATATTCAGTAAAGACCACTGGAGGTTCATGCCCTAGTGACAGTGCTCATTTAGCTCCAAATTACAGATGGCTCTAGACTAACTCAACAAAGTTTAAAGAGAAGATTTAAAACAACAACAGACAAATACTCATCCTGAAGTTACTGAACTGCCTGCCACAACATTGTTCAAAGGTAGCCAATCAAATCTAGATCTTCAATAGCATAACACCAAAATACCCAAAAATCTCTGACATGCAAAGAAGCCGTAAGATATATATAATTAAGACATATATTGACAGGATAAAAATAAGTCATTTATAAATGACAGAGAAGGAAATTTCAAGGTCCTTAAAGTAAATATATTTTATAAATACATATAGATAAATACATATATATGTCAAGGTACTTAAATGAAAATTGAACATAGGAGAAAAATAGAAGTTATAAAATGAAAAATGTGACATGTATAGATGAAAAATAAATATTTGAAATAAAAATTCCATGAGATAGAATAAGTAATGCATTTTACCCTAACATCAGAAAATTTATAGAACAAAATAGAAGCTTTACAAACTAAAGGACAAAGGGTAAACTAAAATAAGAAAGCCAGAAACTCACTGATACATCAGACAATATGCAGCAGTGTAACATACATGTAATTAATATCTCAAAAAGGATGGGTGGGGGAATTATAGGTGAATAAAGAATGGTACACTCATTCCTGAGGGCACAGAGGAGGGAGGATAGCTTTAGATTCCTAAGGGAGGGTATTATCCATTCATGAAGGTCCAACCCCCATGACCAAACACCTCCCAGTGAGCCCCACCTGCAACATTGGGGATCAAATTTTAACATGATATTGGAAGGGGCAAGCATTCAAACCACAGCAAGAGTTAAATTTCCTTTTTAAGAAAATCACTGATATGATTCCATTTCGCCATAGATAAAAGCTAGTATTTCAGCCTACCATTGAGTGTGCTTATAGCTCACCAAAAGGGCACTCTGTCTCGGGAATACAGATTTGCCTAGAGGTATCCTATTGCAGTCAAAGAAAGAGCAATGAGGGATAGAAAAGGTTAATGATGGAGACACCAGTGCTGCATTTTGCAACAAACAATGTAAAAACTTTACGGATTGGTTCTGCTAACTTACTACAGTTTACATTCCTCTCAGGTGGGAGAATTGTTGCGTTTTTTCTTAAGATAGAAAAGCAATTCAGATAATCTGAAATCTCCACAAGAAGGATGAGAAGCACAGAAGAAACTATTCTAGGCAGGAAGTCAATCCCTTAACTGTCTGTGCTCCATAGAAACAATTGTCTGCACTGGGAGTCATATGAGGTACAGACCACAGCCAGACCTCTGATCCTCTCATTAGTGATTTCAGAAGAAATTACCAGTCAACTGAGTAACTCACTGAGTAAACATTTGGCACTGAAAGAGGTTAGACGGATAACTATTTGTATCACCATATTCATGAGGCTGGAATATTTTCCATTACTGGTATCACATCCGAATGGAAGATGTTAAAAGGTCTCTCATCCTGTAAGATGGATATGAAAGAACATTTTCTGAGAAACGAAATTATTAACACACCTGCGAGGTGGATGGAAGAGAAAAAAAGAATAATCAGCTTGAGTTCTTCTCCGTGATAAGAGAACTCACTAAAAACATAAAGAGAAAAATACAAGTTTAAAATAATTAACCAGAAGAAGACGACTCTAGAGATTTTAAATTGCTAATAATATTTTAATTTGCTCCAAGTTGAAAATAATTATATTGCTTGTGTTTTAAGGCACATAATGAGCAATTATATCACACATGATAGTTTCAGCAGTAAAATATTATCCGTTAACAGCTGGAACTCACAAAAGCATAGCACAATGTGAAGATGGAATTTGCTAAAATAAACCATCTGCTGAAAACTACTATTCTGCAAATTTAAAAATAAAGTTTAAATGTTATTTGTCTTATTTAATAGGTCTGTGAAAAAAATGCGCTATTTGAAAAGTAGCTGCTACCTTAATTCTTTATATTAGACGGCTGGTTACAGTAATGCACAGTAAGGTGCTACATAGATATATTGCTAAATTTTCTGCATATACTATGTATTTGGCTTAAATTATTTGAAATTTTATAGTTAAAGTAACAAATGTATATTTAAATGTTTTGACACAAATTGCAAATATCCCTTTAAAAAGCGTCTTACACTCTAAATATTATTTGTCACCTATATATTTGTCTTTTCTCTATAGGAAAGTTTAAATTTTTCCCTTGAAGCTTTAATTATTTGAGTCTATAAAACAAACTGATAATGTACAAATTAACAGGAAGAAAAGGTTTACGGATATGTGCACAAGTATGCACTTGGAGTTTACATAATATATATAAATATATCTATACAAATATTTGTATATTACAAAGAGATATACAAATATATACTATATATATAAAAACTCCCAGAAAGGCAAGGTAGTCAACACGCCTATGCTATCTTGAGGTTACAGAAAACACAGAGCTGTAGGTTGGTAAATCAGGCTTTGCGGAAGACAGGTGACAACAAGGAAGAAAGAGGAGTCTGGCAGCAGAGGTGGTCTTGTTACATGGATGAAACCTCACAGGGAGCAGCCCTCCTCTTGGGAAGTATAGATAGGAAATGGTTTTTAGAAATGTAAACGTGCCAGGCTCAGTTAATCTTTCCTAAACCCAGACAAGGGAGTATCTCAGGGAGAGCCTTTCTATATCAATGCAGATTTTCTCTACAAATGCAAATCTCCCCAACAAACACAGCTTTTCAGCTATTCTCGTAGAAGAAGCTATCTCCAGTCTTCCGAGTAGCCATCTTGAAATATGTCAAAAAGCTGGCCGGGCGCACGCCTGTAATCCCAGCACTTTGGGAGGCTGAAGTGGGTAGATCACCTGAAGTCAGGAGTTGGAGACCAGCCTGACCTACATGGTGAAACCCCGTCTCTACTAAATACAAAAAATTAGCTGAGTGTGGTGGTGCATGCCTGTAATCTCAGCTACTTGGGAGGCCGAGCTAGGAGAATTACTTGACCCTGGGAGGCTGAGGTTGCAGTGAGCCAAGATTGTGCCATTGCACTCTAGCCTGGGCAATAAAAGCAAAACTCCATCTCAAAATATAATGTATTTTAGGGTAATATTTGAGTATCTTTACCTCTATATGTACAATAAATATTATTGTGATTTTTAATCTTTTCTGTGGAGAAAACACAGGTGTGATTTCTGGTGTAGCTGAACATCGTTTATTTGACAATATTGCACTTATGTGTGGGTGTGTGCGTGTGTAGCTACTTTTTAATTTGGTTCTCACATAATGATGAGATATTAACAATTAATTCAGTAAAACGTATGTTTTGCAATATTTCTCCATGTTATTATGCTTTAAATTAGTTTAATCATGCCCCTATAATGTGTACATTTTAACCTTTGACTATAGGTCTCAATCTCACTTTGGTTCCTGTATTTGAATTTATGCTAATAAAGTCCTATAGCTAAAAAAGATTATATAAACTTATCTACATTTTTACTAGTATTCTGGTGTCATTTTTAATTATGTAATGAAATCAAATTTTAATTTGGATTATTGTTATCTGAGTTAAGGATCTAAATTTTTAATTTTCTTATAAATATTACATAATTATTTCTGAACCATATATTGACTAATCTGCCCTTTATATGATGTGTATTATAAGAGCTTGGGATTGTTTCATTTGCAAAGATGAATGCTTGAGAAGTAGATATTTAATCATAACATTTCAAAATCTACTGGATAACCTAGAATTGAAAAATAGCCTATAGGTTGAAAAACTCCTGTAGTGAAGAAAGAAAATAACTAATGTACAGTGACACTATAAATATTATAAATATTTATTTTATTATCACCCTGAAATTTGATAATACAAACATGTAATATCCACATATTATCCATATAACAGGTCATAAAAAATCAATACATTCTTCAAAAATTTAGCATAACAGAAAATGCACTCTCTCCCCTTGATGGAATTAAGTTACAAATATGAGTAAAAATAAGTAGATAAGTAGATGGAAGTAGATGTTTCAAAACAAAGAAAAATATTTGTCTTGGATAACATACAAACTCAATTGACAATTCCAATATTTCCAGAACTTTGCCTGTCAACTGGTGGAGAGTTTTCCCCAGGAGACATTTGTCAATGTCTAGGGTTATTGTGGGGATGTCAAGACTGGTGGAGGTGTGAAATTTAGAGGTCAAACGAAACACCTAGTATTATTAGGGCAGCCTCCCACAACAAAGAATCCTCTGGTCCTAAAGGTAAGTAGCACCAAGGTTGAGAAACCATAATCTAGACAGGAAACACTACGTAGCTATTCCAAGTGTTCAGGAAAACACATCAGTGCCCTCGAGGGGAAAAGTGTAAACATTTTAATTGCTGTACATGGTGACACAAATCCATGTTGTTAATCTAAGTGGAAGGGGCTGAAGCACAAAACGTAATTTAAAGAGTTTACTTGAGCCACAATGAGGACAGCTGCCTGGAAGAAACAGACCCAAGTATCCTTGGATATGAACTCCCTTTGGAGCTTTGCAACAAGCAGTTTCTTAAAGGCAAAAACGGGTCCAGAAGTGGGATGGTGCAAAGAGGTTTGTCACAAATTCTCATTGGCTTATG
This sequence comes from Homo sapiens, assembly GCF_000001405.40. Taxonomy (NCBI): domain Eukaryota; kingdom Metazoa; phylum Chordata; class Mammalia; order Primates; family Hominidae; genus Homo; species Homo sapiens. The sequence continues at coordinate 26,748,136 of NC_000017.11, forward strand.
GAAATAACATTTATTAGTGACTGGCTATACACTGTTACACTGTTATTGGGCGTGGATTATAGTGTCTGGTGTGGCGTTATTGGTTAATTTATAGCTACTGTGGCAACAGCAAGCAGCCTAGATGAACACACAGCTCAAAGAGGAGCAGGACAGAACTGCTGTCTCATTTGAATATCTCTCTGGGCCTGATTATTTAAAAGGACTTGCATTTCTCACATGAAAGTTATTTTCTTTTCTCAATGTCCATAAATGAGAATAAATAGACGTAAAATAGATCTTTTCGAGGACGAAGTAAATGGAATGAAAAACAAAACCCAAGCTGACCAGAAATCATACAGAGAAGAAAAGGTTATAAATATATGGATTTTTCAAAGTGATTTTAAGCTATTAAGAATCAGTTAAATGTTGGGGGCTTTTGTCTGAGAATGGGCTAAAGGAGAATGTCCCTTTTGCCTTCTGAAGTTTCCCTGAAAATCACTAATAGGAGGCAGATAAATAGTAGAAAAGGCATACAGGTTTCTGCAATGTGTGTACACTGGAGCCCTTAGAACGAAGACCCAGACACACGATGCGTGCAGAAGCTTATCTACCACATGAAGTTTACAAAAAGAATGGGGTCTTGGATCACAGGGAAAAAAAAGAGAAAGGTTATGTGAGAAAACGACCGTGGCTAGCAACAGTGGACTTATTACATAGGTGGAACCTCACTGGGAGCAGTCCTCAGAGAGAATAGACAGAAAATGTTTCTTTCAGACCTTTGGAGACCTCAGACTCTCAGTTAACATTTCCTAGATCCAGACAAGGGGGCAGACCTCAGAGAAAGCCTGGCTGCATCAAGGCAGATTCTGTACCGATGCAAATCTCCCCAAGACAGCTTTGCAGCTAAGTTTGCATTTCCAGCCCTTCTCCATAGCCATTTTGAAATATATCAAGGAAATATATTTAGGGGTAAAATATATTAGTTTCCGTCATACAGCTATAAAACATACAGGAATAATTTTTGTCAATGTCTACTACAAATCCAATATAGCAGTAACTATAAAACCCGCCAGATATTGAAGAAAAAATATGTAGAGTACCTCAATTACAAATGTTGATACTAAAATGCTAAATAAAATAAAAATAATATCCATCAATATTTGAAACAGTAAGACAAGAAATTGGCAAAAAAAAAAAAAAAAACAAACAAATATCCACCTTGGGAATGAAAGTGTGTTTCCAAATTTGGTAATCCAATAATATTAATAATCATATTGATTAGCCCAAATTAAAAATAAATAGGGGATTCTCAGTACATGCTAAAATATATTTGTTAAAAGGCAATATTCATGTCTTTAAAGATTTTAAATGCTATAAAGAGTCTGATATTCTATATGCAAACATGTGTATGTCCATTAGAAGAAGAGAGGCCTGATTTTCATATGTTACTACATAGAGATAGAGAAGTGGATAGATTAATTTTCATATGCATAGAGAAAGCATAAAATAGAAATTTACTATCATATTAAAGGAATTTTAATTCAACAATAAAATAATCCAAAGGTAAAATTTTAAATATTTTTAACAGGTACATTATGAATATTAGATAATATTTATAATAATTGGGAAAATATTCAATGCTAAAATAAGATACAATGTCTAAACATCAGTATTAAAACTAGTATAAATATTTGTTTGTTTATACAGGGAAAATTCAAGCTCGACCTAAAATTATATGGGAAATAAAAGAAAAATTTTAAGGGAGCTCTTTAATAACATAAACATATATATACACACACACACATATAACATGTATATATGTTATATGGGATAGATATAGATTTAACATGTTATATCTATATTTGTATCTATAACTACAGCTGTATGTATCTACATTTCTATATATTTACTCAGTGATATAAATATAGACTGGAATAAATATAAGGACACATATGATTCTTGGATAAAAAGGATTTAGTATCATAAAGACAAATTCTTTCCAAATTCACTTATGAATTCACAACAATATACAGTTTCATTAGTATAATTTAAAATTTTTAAATAAATTCCAAGATTCATTTAAAGGAATATACATGTATACAAGCAGTCAAGAAAGAAGCAAGAGTGCACTAAACTAACTTGCTATTAAAATACATTTTTAAACTTAGTCACTAAAAGTGAGCATTACTGATTTGGAGTACTGGAATTTAGGTATACGGGATCTCAAAAACACAGAACTCAAAGGAGACCCCTGTATGCACGAGAGCTTAGGATGTTCTTTGGAAGGCATTACCAAACCACGGGCAAAGTTACTTTAGTGTCTTAGTCTTACTAGGTTTGAAAAGCCAGAGAGAAGACTCAAGACCACCATATAAGAGCAAAAACAAAAGGACAGGGAGAGAATGTGAAGATACTAAAACATTTTACATAAAGTTGTATAAAACATCCTTTAAAGAAAATATAAAGTTTAGGATATACATCAAAATCAGCAGAGCCACTAAATAAATAAATAGGCATTGTAAAATAACAAGAGAAAATTTAAATGGATTTCTAAAAAATATTGACACCTATGATTTTTAAAATACGTTTAAGAAATCCCGTATTTCACAGGGCAGTAGTTCACAACACAGATATGTTAGGACATAAAGGTCCTTCTGTTTTTAATTTACTAGTGTTTATAGGGTTACAAATGTCTTCTACCTTTGTCTTTTGTCTGATGGTGCAAAAAATTTTCATAAGCATGTATTTCTGAATGCCTGATGGATTGACATATATAATATGCTGCTAGTATTAAAATATGTGACGGAAAACGCATCCAATCTTCTCACTGTTTACATAAATTCTAGGTTTCTCCTATTTACCTCAAGCACGTATGGAGCAAATTCTTACCTTTTAATATTGCCATGGCATTCACATTGAACATAAGTTGAACTCTCTCATATGGTAGCTGGGTTCGGATTCCCTTGACAATTTCCAGTTCTAACCCTCACACTTCCTCAGTGTGGCTGGCCCAGATATTGACCCTACACAGTTGCCTCCCCCTGGTGACTACCAGCTATGGAACCGTTGGATACAAACTACCTGACTCACCCCACAGACCTCACAGTGCACATGGACAGCCCCCACACGCCAGAGTGACCTGCTCAGTTGCAGCAGCAGTCAAGAAATGTGCCTGCTGGCACTCACCCCACCGACTAGTGCCCTGTGGAAAACTTATTTGGATAATGTTCTGGGCCCAATAAAGTCTGGAGTCCCACAGACCCCTCTTCTCTCTCCTGCTCCCCACTCATCTTCCCCATTTTGTTCAGCCCTATGAGGTGTACTACTCTATTAGTCCATTTTCACACCACCAGTAAAGACATGCCCAAGACTGGGTAATTTCCAGAAGAAAGAGGTTTAATAGACGCACAGTTCCACATGGCTGGGTAGGCCTCACAATCATGGCGCAAAATGAAAGGCACGTCTCACATGGCAGCAGACAAGACAAGAGAGCTTGTGCAGGGAAACTCCCCTTTATAAAACCATCAGATCTTGTGAGACTTATTCACTATCAGAAGAACAGCATGGGAAAGACCTGCCCTCATGATTCAATTACCTCCCACCTGTTCCCTCCCACAACATGTGGGAATTCAAGACGAGATTTGGCTGGGGACACAGCTAAACCCTCTTCTCAGCTACCCTCTTCTCTCTGGATCTGTGAGTAATAAACCTACTTCTGTGATTTCCCATGTTTGGTTCTGTGGCCTCCATGTGTCTGAGCTGACCTACACTGGAACCTAACTCTCCTCCTGGCCAGGGTCTCTGAGAGTGGCTCTTGTCAGAAATACACAGGACACAGGTTAGGCAACAGTCACCAGGCATCTCCTAGTCTCAACAGATGTTCTGTGAGAGGGAGGCCTGGTCGTGGGATGCACACCTGGCCACTGCTGGGGTAAGGAAGTGTCCTGTGAAAGGCACATGTTAAGCATCCACAACCCCCTGCCCAGAACCCCAGAAAGGCAGGGCTCCAATTGACAGTCACTCTCCAGAGACAAACCTCAAGCCCTAACTGGAGGAAAAGAAAACAATGTAAAAAGTTGAATTTATCTTACTATTTCAATGATCCAGTAAAGACATTCTATGCCTGTACACCACATATTTTCTTTGATTGTGGATTTATTTTAGATAGAATTTTAGGTCTGGCTTTCACTTTAGCCTGGTCCCTACTTCAAGCATAAGGTAAAGATTTTCCATGCGTTCTTTTCTGGTACTACTACCTGCCAGTGTGGGGTCATGTCCTAGTCTATCTTGAGGGAATCCCCCTGTTCGTTATTGTCAGAGTGAGACTAAGTCTTGATTTCCCTGGACAACTTCACTGCATGACTTTTAATATGATTTTTTAATATACTCTTTACTGGACAATAAATTATATAGTTACCTGAGTAAGAGATATGGTCAGGAAGAGGCATTGCCTAATTCAGCTTTTCTCTTTGGTGAACTCGCATATGTTCTCCTTACCCGCCAGTCACCTCTAAACCGTATTGTTCCAAGACAACAAACAGAACTCGAGTGTGTATCTTTCACCACTGGATTTGTGTTTCCTCCATAAAGCTTTGTGCTTAATAGGGTTTCTGTTAGCATTTTCTCTATTTATTTTCCCATAAAATATCACAGGCCTTCTTCATATGGAATTATGGGTGATTTCCTTCAATCTGCATCATATCAAGTTGAGGTTCATCTTGATGAAAAGTAAAACATACTTTGAAAATGTCAGTAAGGATGATTTCCCCTCCTTTTTAGCACCTGTGCTTGTGATACAAGCACATTTTAATACAATTGTAGTCTCATGCTTTGATCATTCCTATGATGAAAATAACATTTTTAGATAAAATATCTGAGTTTTATGAGGCCTTTAGTATGTGATGTGATAGAAGAACAGAAGACCATACTTTTTTCTAGTTTTCCGTGCAATTCTATCATTGTTTCATCTTTACTCCTACCAGAGTAATTTTCCAAAATAGATATCTTGTCATTCTTCCTGTTGTTATCAGTAAATAAGTGAAATGAACAGCTAGATTATATAATTTATCTACAACAAGAAAGTAGAATTGAATCTATATTCATTAATGAGAATAACCAGTCAATTACACAGATAGGCATTTTACATTTTGAAGATCATATGGACCCATTGTCAGATATATTATTATTTATGTCTACATGGACATCACCTGTGCATATTTAAATACAAATCAATGAGAGCTGATTTTTATTTTTATTATATATATTTTTGAGATAAGGTCTTGCTTTGTTGTCCAGGCTGGAATGCAGTGGTGCAATCACTGCTCACTGCAGCCTCAGCCTACCAAGCTCAAGCAATCCTTCCACCTTGGCCTCCCAAATAGCTAGGACAACAGGTGCACATCACCATGCCCACTTTTTTTTTTTAACTTTTGATAGAGACTGGGTCTTGTTATGTTGCCCAGGTTGCTTTTGAACTCCTGGGCTCAAGGAATCCTCTCATTTCAGCCTCTTCAACTGCTGGTATTACAAGCATGAACCACCATATGGGCTGGAAGCTGATTTTTAAAATACTGGGATCATATAGATGACAGCACCTGAAAAACAGACAACACCAAGCTTTATGTTAAAAGGTGTGAGGGTATCAATATTGTTGTGGCTATTGGGGAGGAAAACATTAGTAAAACCAGTAAGTTAAAGCTCTTGCTTTAAACTTTGGCTTTAATTTAACAAATGTTCTATGGAGTGACAGTATGTATGTAACCATGCTATGCCCATTCACAGATGCAGTAGAGGGAAGAATTTCTCAAAGACAACTGTTCTAAGACTCAAATTAAACCGTACTGGGTTTGAAAAGAGAAAGTCCAGGAATTACCAAATATTTTAGATATCAGATACAAGAGAATGACAGGTATGCGATGATAATCAGCAATGGTTGTTCACACAATACATCAAATCAGTATTTGAATTAGCTTTTGAATTACAAGGACAAATGGATCAAGTCTAGACTCTTTAGTAGATAAATCTTATTAGGCTGAGATGTGTTTTCCCCTGTTTTTCCACAAGGAGATTACAAATTTGCAAACCTCAGCTGCTCTCATTTTATGCTCTCACCAAGCCAAAAGCTGAAGTTCATCAATAAGTGTGTCTAAGTGTTCACTGGTTATATACCATTTTGTAGTTTCAGCTATCTTTCCAACTTCCTAAATCATCACCTTCATTTGATCTGGTTTTTTTCCACTATCACCTCTTTATTGACCATATAAAGAATATAAGTAAGTTCTTATTTTGTTATTGTTCATTTTAGTCTAATTTCATCAAAAGATCACAATCTTTTAATTTCATTTTAATTTCAAAGATTAAATGAAACATACATAGAAATGAGTGTAAGATTTGCATTTGCATTATTTTGGCATCAATTTGCTATCCTCCCTCATGCACATAGAGATCACTTCCATGTACGTGATTTCAAACATCCAAGTGCAGTATTAAAAGCAGTTGTAAATTATGGTTCTCATTTTCATGATACAATTACAATATAAACTTACTCTTGCTGCTGTAACCAATTACCACAAACTTCATATCTTACAATAAAGTGATCGTTAATCCTACAGTTCTGTAGTTCAGAAGCCTTAAATGAAACTCACAGGGCTAACATCAAGTTTTGGGCAGGGCTGCAGTCTTTCTCAGGGCTATGTGGCAGAATCTATTACTTGATTTTTTTCAGCATCCAGAGGCCACCTTTATTCCTTGGAACATGACCTCATTCTTAGATTTTATTTTTCTTTTTTTTTTGAAATGGAATCTCCTTCTGTCACCCAGGCTGGAGTGCAGTGGCACGATCTCAGCTCACTGCAACCTCTGCCTCCCGGGTTCAAGTGATTCTTCTGCCTCAGCTTCCTGAGTAGCTTGGACTACAGGCACTTGCCACCATGCCCAGTTAATTTTTTGTATTTTTAGTAGGGATGGGGATTCACCATGTTAGCCAGGATGGTCTCGATCTCCTGACCTCGTGATAAACCCACCCCAGCCTCCCAAAATGCTGGGATTAGGCTTGAGCCACCGCGCTGGGTCCTCATTCTTGTATCTTAAAAGTCAGTGATGTTGAGTAATTTCTCATGCCACCACCTCCAAGGTTGCCTTTCTTCTGCCTTCTTCTTTCACTTATAAGGAAGTTTGTGATTTCATTGATCCCACCCATTTAAGACAATCTCTCTATCATTTTTCCGCAACCTTAGTTTCACTTGAAATCTAATTTCACACTGCCGTGCAACCTAACATATTTGTATGTTAGACTCTGGGAATTAGGACATGAAAATTTTTGGGAGACCATTCTTTGGCCTACAGCAGACAATCTATTTATCTGCAGATTAAAGCGTTCTTCATTTTTCTGTCTCCCTCTCTTAATTTTTTTAAAATAATAAGAATTGTAGTAAAGAGAAAGAAAGAAAAGAAAACAAAGAAAGAAAAAGAAGGGAGGAAAGAAGGAAGGAAGGAAATAAGGAAAGAAAGAAGAAAGAAAAGAAAGAGGAAATGAGGGAAGGAAGGGAGGGAGGGAGGAAGGGAGAAAGGCAGGAAGGGAGAAAAAAGAAAGCATGAGCACAAGAAAGAAAGAAGGAAGGAAAGAAAGAAAGAGTAAGAAAGAGAAAGAGAGAAAGAAAGAAAGGAGGAAGGGAGGAAGGAAATGAGGAAGAGAGAATGGTAAAAGGGAGGAAGGCAAAGAAACAAAGAAAATAAAGATGCGAAGGAAGGAAGGAAGAAGAGGAATGGAAGGGAGGGAGGAAGGAAGAAAAAGAGGGCGGGAGGAAGGGAGAAAAAAGGAAAGAAAACAAGAACGTGAGAAAGAAAGAATATGAGAAAAGAAGGAAGAAAAGGGAGGGAGAAAAGAAGGGAGGGAGGAGGGAAGGAAGAAGAATAAGAGGAAAGAAAGAAGGAAAGAAGGAAGGAAGGAGAAAAAAGAAAGAAAAGAAAGAAAAAGAAAAAAGAAAAGAAAAGGAAGAGGAAAAGAAGAAAGGAAGGAAGAAGGGAAGGGAAGGGAAGAGAAGAGAAAGGAAGATGGAAAGAAGGAAGGAAGAACGCAAATATTAGAAATTCTAGGTTTGTTAGAGAATATGCCATACTGTTTTTTTTTTTCACTTGAAAGGAAAGAGTATCTGCCATTGAAGATTGGATGTCTTGTTTGTGATATTGTTGTTCTTATCTTCCACATGATTACTGAGTTTATGCCTAGTCTTTCCATTACTAAGACAAAAGTTTTGAAGTCTGTAAATATAATTTTGGATTTTTGTAGCTCACCTTTGATTTCTTTCCTGTTTTACCTCATGTATTTGGAGGTTCTGTTGTTAGCTGCATACCCTAATTACTAGGATGTTTACATCTTCTTGAGAATTGATTATTCTATTATCTATTATCTCTCATCTCTGATACTATTTCTTGTTCCGAACTCTGTTGTGTCTAATACCAATGTAGTCCTTCCACAGCCTTATTTTAGTGTTTCCATGATATGGCTTTCTCCATATCTTGATGATAACCTATTTATATCTCTATATATTTGGAGCAAGATATAAAATTTAGACTTGAGTTTTTAAAGATTTTTCAAGATGTAATTCTTATTTCTTTTTGTTCTATTTGACATTCTCTGAGTTTCCTATATTTGAAGTTTGATTTTCTGTCACTTCTTTTAGAATATTTTTGGCAGTTATTTTGAAAAATATTTCTTTTGCTCCATTATTTTTCCCTCTTTTCTTTTTGGGATTTCAATCATAACTAGAGTAGGTAATTTCATCTCAGTCTTATGCAGGTACTTTTTCTCAGGGTCTCAGGAATGTAGACTTCTCACACTTCTGTTCTTTTCCTGGCTGTGTTGGTGAGCTCAGTGATAATCCTCCTTCACCTTCAAGAGCAGTTTTGTTTTGTTTTTCCTGTTTTCATACTCCCAGCATCAGGAGTATTCTAAGTGTGGCAGTTTTTGTTGCCTTCCCCTACATATTAAGTGGAATATCTTGGTCTATTTGGACTCTTATAACAAAATAACATAAACCGGGTGACTAAAAAACAACAGATATTACTTTTTTCATACTTCTTGAGGCTGTAAGATCTCAGGTCAAGATGCTCACAAATTCAGTGTTGATGAGAGCCCATTTAATGGTTTATAGATGGTGCCTTCTTTCTATGTCCTCACATAGTGGAAGGCACACAAGAACTCCATTGAGCTTCTTTTATAAAGGCACTAATCCCATTCATAAGGGCTCGGCCCCCAAGACCTGGTCACTTCCCAAGTGTTCTGCTCTCCCTGATGTGTGTCATATACAGACTCTCTTGGATTCCTTACCAATTGCTTGAGAGATCACAGTGGGTTTGTGGGGAAAAAGTTTTCAAGATAATGGATCTTTCCCAACTTCTGCAGCTGTCAGCGGTCTCCCAATCTCACCAGCCCCACTTTGTCTTTAGGAATTTATTGATTATTCCAGCTTTACTTGTCACAGTGGTGTCTATTTGCATCTGTCCTATGTAAGTGCATCTGTCCTCTTTCTCCTTGCAGGTGCTTGTTTTCCCTCACATTTTGACTCAGTTCTTGGCAACCTCGTTGCTATAAAAATAAAGTCATGACTTTGAAGTTTGTTTGGTTCTTTCATTGTTGTCAGGTTAGGAACCCTATTCCATCCCAGATTTCCAAAACCCAGACTTTTTGGGGGGTTGAAATTTTAGGCTTATTCTTTGAACTGTAGTTTTATCTTCTTTCAGCTACCATATGCATTTTCATATTGATTAATGAGACTAAGCTTTTTTTGTGTAGTTGACTGTATCTTTGGATTTTTTTCCCAAATACCTTTTTATTTCTTCTTTTCTTTATGGTTTTAGAAAATGTCTTTTACATAATTGCAGCTTGATTTTTTACTCAGTTAATGGCATGCTTAAAGGAGAGAAAAAATATTAAATATCTTTCCCTTTTTAATTACTGTGCTTTTTTCTTTTTTAAGGAAATATTTCATTATGTTAAATTTCAGTGTTATTCTACTTAGCTATTCCTTAAATATTATAGTATTTTGGATTTCACATGTAAATTTGTAACATAGCTTGAGTTTATTATGTATAGAGTAAGGCTATTTTCTCTTTTTTGTTTTTTAAGGTAAAAATCACATAATATAAAATTAATAACAACCATTTTAAAGCATACAGTGCACTTGCTTTTAGTATATTGACAATGTTCCAGGGCAATTTCATCATGTCCTTTCCAAAAACCAATTATGCATAAAGTTGTTACACCCTATTCTGCTTCCCTGGGCCCTAGTGACCACTATTCTGATTTATATCCCAATTGATTTACCAATTCCTGATGTTTCATGTGAATAAAATCAAGTAATATTTGTCCTGTTGTGCACTTAACATAATGCTTTCAAATTTCACCAATATTATAACATATATAAGTACTTCATTCTTTGTTATAGCTGAAAATTGGCTGTCCATTTATGAGTCAACAAGCATATGGATTGTTTCTACTTTTTGACTGTATGAATATTACTGCTGTAAATATTCATGCACATGTTTATTTTTTGAGCACCTATGTTTTGTAAGATTAACAGCTGACTTAAGAGAAACAATGGAAGGCAAGAGACAGTAGAATAATATATTCAAAAGATGCAAAGGAAAAAAACTCTCAGCCACGAATTCCTTATCCAGCAATTATTTTTCAAAAATGAAGATACCACAAAGACTTACCCAGATAAACAGAAATATTAACTGAAGTTGTTGCTGGCAGACCTACCATATAAAAAAAACTCTAAAATAAATTCCTAAGGCTAAAACAAGTTACAGAAGACAGTCACTTGAATCCACAATTTTAAAAAAGCACTGGTATAGGTAATATTGACATTATAAAAGACAGTAAAAATGCATTTTTTCTCTTTATCATAAATTGTTTATTAAATAACATGTGTATAATGGCCAGGCACGATGGCTCACACCTGTAATCTCAGCACTTTGGGAGGCCAAGGCGGGCGTATTACGAGGTCAGGAGATCGAGACCATCCTGGCTAACACAGTGAAACCCCTTTTGTACTAAAAATACAAAAAATGAGCCGGGCATGATGGCGGGCGCCTGTAGTCCCAGCTACTCGGGAGGCTGAAGCAGAAAAATGACATGAAGCCGGGAGATGGACCTTGCAGTGAGCGGAGATTGTGCCACTGCACTCCAGCCTGGGTGACAGAGGGTGACTCCGTCTCAATGATAATAATAATAATATGTGCATAATGTATTACTGAGTATTTGAAATGTAGAAATGGAATACGTCTATAACATATTTTCCAGTAACATCAAAAAGGAGGTAGTTGGAAGAAAAATGTATTGTGATAAGGTAATAACTCTAGAGGTAAAGTAATAATTACTAAAATGTATTGTTGGCTTTGTAACTTTAATAGATGTAAAGGGTAAAGTGATAATACTTTAAAATGGAGGAAATAAAAGAGATTTATATAAGAATGATGTTTCTATGTATTACTAAAAGTTTACTAGTATAAATTGGAAGATGATTTGAATAATTAATTTTCCATATACCTATATGGTAAACTTACAGCAACAACAAAAATTCTCAAAAATATATAATAATTCATTAGTAATCTAAAGTTCCCTATTTTAGAAAATATTCTTTCATTGCAAAATAAAGCAATAAAGAAAAATATTTGAGAAATATATAAAACAAACGGTAAAATGGCAGACATAAATAGAATTATACCAATTATAATCTTAAATGTGAGCAGATTAAAATCCATTCCAGAGGCAGACATTGTCAGACCGGATTAAAACAAGTGATCCCAATATACGCCGATATGCAAGGATTCTAATGGATTGAAAGTAAAAAGATGACAAAAAAATATCATGCAAAGAGCAATCATAAGAACACTGAACTCATTATACTCATAACACACAATATAGACTATTAAAAATGTGAATAGGATTTTAAAAATTGATATTGTAGTAAAAAGGGGGTCAACGCTTTAGGAAGACATAGCTATTACAATCATGTATGCATAGATATGAGCTAAATGGTTTCCTCTATATAGATGCTGAAATTCTAACCACTGAATATGACCTCATTAGGAAATAGGTTCTTTGCAGCTGATCAAGTTAAGATACAGTCAGATGAGCCTGAATTCAACATGACTGATGTCCTTATTAAAAGGAGAAATTTGAGTAGAGGGAGACATACACACAGGGAGAGTACCATGTGATTATGAGGGCAGAGATTAGCCAAGGAATGCCAAAGACTGCCACTAAACCACCAGAAGTGAGAAACAAGGCACAGAACAGGCTTTCTCTCATAGCCCTTGAAGGGACCATCCCTGCTGACACCTGAATCTCAGACTTTTAGCTTCCAGGACTATAAGACTATACATGTATGTTGTTCAAGGCACCCAGTTTGTGTTACTTGGTTATGGCAGCCCAAGAAAACTAATACATGAACTAATAACAAAGCATAATAACATGAAGCAAAAAATTGACAAAAGAGGAGCATCAGCAAAATGGCAGTGGAGAGAGCTGCAATCTTTCATTTCCCCACAGAAACATCACACAACTAAGAGAAACTGTCCGAATAAACTTTGCCAAAACTCTGGAAAATGGTCAAAAGATTACAACAACCAAGTGAAAGCAGACTCAAGAAAAAGACAACTGGAAAACTTTACGACATTTTTAACTTGCCTTTGCCCCAGCAAATTGGCAGTTTTGAAGTGTCAGAAGCCCACGTTCCCAGTGAGGAAGCCTGGTCCATGGTCCAAAGGAACAAGAGAAGATCTTACCCGCAAATTATTATGTGTCTGTTCTGACTGGTCTGGGGGATACCTGAAGGACTCATGAAAGGCTTTTTTTTTTCCTGTGTTGCTAGAATACAGAACAGATAAGGAATGGGCATTATTAAGAAACTCTGCAAGGAGACCTAACAAACCACAGATGATTAGGGCAAAAATTAGAGTTTACACATATAGTAGATCACCTTCAGCACAGCAAGAAAAGTTGGAGAAGAGTATTTCAAAAACTAAGACATACAAAATCATTCACGTACATGGGAGAGTCTAGAAAGTCACATGTATTCATAGGTTAAGCCACAGGCTGACAAATGTCATAAGAAGACCCTACACTTTTACCTTGGCCGATCCCTCCCCTCAGTGCAAGCTCCGTGCAAGAGTGAACTTGAACTTCACTCAGTGCAAGAGTGAACACACACTTTGTGCCGGCTTTAAAGAACCCAGCACAAAGCCAGTCTGCATGGCCTAGAGACATATTTTGCTGGACAATGATTACTTGTTTTTCTTGTATTTGCCTGTTTGATTGGTTCCTGACATACAAGAAAATCACTGTCAAAACATTAGCTTAACATTTGTTAAGGAAACAAAAAGACTTCGGTGACCACACTTTACAAAGCAAACAGTTTTGTAAATCACTTTGGAAAATTTCACTAAAAAAAAAAAAATCCTTAACAATATAATAAGTAAAGAAAATTTAAAACCACAAAACATTACTGTTTTTGTAGTGGGGGGGTCTGATTTACAGAGTAACCACATAGTAATTATAATTATTAGAATGTCCAGTTTTCAAAAAACGTTACAAGGCATACAAAGAATGGGAAAGTGTGGCTCATTCAAAGGAACAAAATAAATTGACAGAAAATATCCCTAAGGAAACCCAGACATCAAACTTACTAGACAAAGACTTTAAAACAACTCTTTTCATTATACTCAAATGTCAAAAGGAAAACATAAACAAAGAAATAAAGGAATCAGAAAAAATATTAAAAAGTAGGAATATCAGCAAAGAGATAACAGAAATTCTAGAGTGGAAAACTACGATGATAAAAATTCAAAAATCACCAGAGGGATTTAAGAGTATATTTGCACACACAGAAGAAGCCATGAACTTGAAGAGAAGAAAATGGAAAATATTGACTCTGAGAAACAGAAAGAATAAAAAATAAACAATGAGCAGAGACTAATGAATCTGTGGGACATCATCAAATAGACCAACATTCATATTCTAGAAGGACAAATTATGTTGTTAAAAAGTTTACCATTCTTTCTTTTCACCTTTCTTCCTTCCTCCTTCCCCCTCCTCCTTTTTACTTTTCTTCCTCTTCCTTTCTCTTCTTCTTTCTCCCCTTCATTATCCCTTTCGCTGTTTCTCTTTCTCCCTTTCTCTTTTTTCTTTTCTTTCAATTTTCTCAATTACTAAGAGATGTTTAAGTACCCTTACCATGTTAGTAGATACGGTTATTTCTCCCTTTAGTTCTCTTTTGAGATTTATAGTCACTCTAAGTTAAGAGATAACCCAAACATAAGCATCACAAACAGGCTTTCATACCATTCTTAATTTGGTCCTGTAATTCTTCATTGCTGTATTAACTTTCTGATGCTTTTAAGGATGTTTTATAACAAATTGTTTAGTTTTTTTCCAATGGAATGTTTATTCTGAATTATCTAATTCATATTGTAAGTATATAGGGAGTTTAATATAAAATTATTAAACTAATATTTGTGAAAGAATGTATTTGTGCATTTAACAAATATGTTAATCCTCAGACTGTTATTGGGCAGCTGAGCAAACAGGAATAAAAATAACACAATTTTTATGTGTACAATATTTGTGGAATACGTTACTGAACCAAATAAATAATTTAGTTAATAACATGACAAGGAACAGAAATTGTATACACTATAGAGCATAGTAATGGAATAATGAATGATTAAAGTTATTAATATTCGGTAGAAAATGAAGGGTATCTTTGAGAGCAGAACTCAAGGAAGAAAGCAATTCGCCTTATGAGGAAATAGTTACCTGTGGATAAAGGAGAAACTGAAAAATTTACAAGTCAAGACTTTTTGAGCAAAAACAAAAATATGACTATTAGTCACCAATTCAGTACAATGAAAAAAAATTTGAAGAGACATCTTGGAAGTAAACCATGTTGTGGAAGAGCATGTAGGGTTTTGATAATCATGGGATGATTCTTAATTAATTTTAAATTCGATAGGAATATATGAGATAATTTCACCAGAGAATAGCATGATTGTGTTTGCATTTCAAAGGGGTGTATCTGGTGCACTGTGTAGAATAAATAGGTTATGTGAGCAAATAAATTGGGAGGCTACTCTAATCCAGAGAAAAAAGGTAGTGACTTAGGTGAGAATGCTGTCATGATGAGTGGTAGTAGTGGTGAGAAGTCGTTAGGCCATGGATGTATTTCATAGGACTGGCCAAGAGAACTGCAGCTAAATTGGAGTGTAGGGAGTGAAATGGAGAACTCAAAGATGACTCTCAGCACTGGAAGGTGACAGCTGTCACTGAAGCATGCTGATGCCTCTTATTAAGAGAGTTACTTGGGAATGGCAAGATCAAAACTTCTCACTTTCAAATTTATAAAAAATATTGTTTTCAGAACTAATGACTTTGGGATCAGTAAGCCAACATTCTAATTGATGGTTACACGACTACACGGGCTCACAGTCCCAAGAGCAAAAGTAAATCATCACAAAGGTGCTTCTTGTTAATTCTAGAGAATGGAGAATTACTGTAACATCTTTCTGATTTTAGGAGAGGTAGCAGTTCCCTTTTTAGCCTAAACGCTATTTTTTTTAAAGCTCAGCCAAGAGACTCCATTATAATTTTCAAATGTGTGTAACTTAAATTCTCATATGAAATACCACTATGCTTAAATTAGTCAAAACATTTTCCCCATCTACAACTCTATCTTGTCATTGCAATCATTTTCACAAAAGTGACTGCAGCTCACAGACCCTAAAAGGAGAAAATCCAGGGTAGGTTATCTGATCTAGTTAGTTTCGAAGACAGGATCTAGAGATTATTTAATATGAAATAGGTCACCTGAAATGAAGTGTTTACTGAAAACAGCTTGGATCAGCCCAGTTTTCTACCACTGAACCATGAATTTGGTTTAAAAAACACAACAACTCTGGGGAATATCGGCTGCTTCTAACTGTGTTGAAGGTGTTAAAGAAAAGAGCATAACATTAAAAATGATCACCTGAGGCCTTTATAGTCTCTGCTCAAGAAACTAGAGTCTTCCATTCTTAACGAAACAACCAAATATCTTAATAATTGGGCAAAATCTAAATATCAGAGATAATTTTATCTTGAAGATTGTTAAATTATAATGGTGAATCACTACCTTGCCATGTCTCTGAGTCAAAAATTAGGTCTTTGTTTAGGAATCAATGGTACTCTGCAACTTGGAAATAGGAAGATTTTAGAAGACTCAGACATTGACTTTCTTGTGTGCAAAAAAAAGACGTATTGAGATAAGACAAGTCTTTCCTTGCAAGGATACCTCTAATGCTCATACACCACCTCCCCTAACATTAATATAGCTTCCAGGTCACTAACCAGTGTCAGAGAACAGCCCATGCAACTAGAAATTCAAAAGATGTCGAACATAGGGTCAAGCCTAGAATAAGAAGTCTTAGCTAATTAAGTATGCTTTTTTTCCCGAAATTCATATTAACCAAAACTTGGATATGTCAGAGAATGCATTCTAAGTTCACTCAACCTAGGAGGGAGAAAGATAATTTTAAATTAAGAGCTGAAGCATTCTTGTCCTAACAGAAAGCAAGGAAAACGAAATATCACACCACAGGAGGGATTTCACAAATTAGTGTCAACATCAAAACCTTAAAATAGGCAAGGAGAATGCAGATTCACAATGAACTCTTGTACTTGTTTTGTTCAGAGAAGAGATGGTTCTGAGAGAATGACAGTGAACTAACCCCAGCTGGTTTAGTTGGTGCTTTCAACTGCTGCTTCTGATCAACTCCTTTAGCTAGAATAATTTTGGCATGTGGTATTAGAGATGGTTATTAATTTTTTCCTCTTATATGCATTGTTCAATGTAGTAAATACTAGCTGTATATGGCTACTTCAATTCAAATTAATTACAATGAAATATACTTAAATATTGAATTTTTTAGTCACTGTTGGTTCATTATTGAATATCTTCAGCTAAGATTTCCCATCTAAAGACATTAAGAGGTGGCTTAGTTAACTGGTCGTCCACAAATATTGAAGCTGTTGTTAACTCCTGATAGATTCTCTGCAAAGAGAATATTCATGAGCCTCCTCCTGAAATCAGCAGCCTAGAGATAGTTTTATAAATTGGATACAAGTTGGAAATCTATATACTCTTTAAGTGTTTGAAATATTAGCTTCCCAGGGAAGAAAATCAAATTCATAAGATATGTTAGGACAATTTAACTCAAGATGTTCAAAACTGAAATGACATATTCTACAATATGTGATAAAACCACCCCCTAACAACTTAAAGCAAAACAGGGATTGACCTTAAAGACCTGCCTTTTCCTCATCCCCCAGCCTATCAGTTTTCAAATCTTGCATTTTATTTTGAAAGGTCCTTATCCCCCTGGTCTCTTGTTTCTAGACTTGGCACATATTTAAGTTTGTTACCTCTCTCTACTGACTTTTCTCTCTTCAAACAGTATCTATGCCTGTCAAATGTGAACATACAAAAAACAAATCAGAATGTGCCATTCTGATTTAAACTGCTTATTAGTTAATACCCTCAAGATAACATCTGGGTTCTTAGCTGCAATGAGTCAAGTTTACTTTCATCTTTTTTTGTCTTTGGCTGCACATTTCCTATCACATCACACTCCAGCAATGCCAAGCTGCGCCGGCCTTCTACCCCATCTCCACTATTTTGCCCTCCGCGGCCGCGGCTTTTTGCCCCCGCCGCCGCGGCTTTTTGCCCCCCCCCCCCACCCCGCTGCCGCGGCTTTTCGCCCCTCGCCGCCGCGGCATTTCGCCGCCCGCCACCGCGGCTTTTTGCTCCCCCTCCGCCGCCACGGCTTTTTCCCACCCGGCCGCCACGGCTTTTTCCCCCCAACCCGCCTCGGCTTTTTACCTGCCGCGACTTTTTGCCCCACCGCTGCCGCGGCTTTTTTCCCCCACCCCGCCTCGGCTTTTTGCCCGCCGTGGCTTTTTGCCCCCCTGCCTTCGCGGCTTTTTGCCCGCCACGGCTTTTTGCCCACCGCCGCCGCGGCTTTTTGCCCCGCCACCGCCGCGGCTTTTTGCCCCCCCGCTGTCAGGGCTTTTTTCTCCGCCGCGGCTTTTTCCCCCCTGCCCCCGAGGCTTTTTACCCGCCGCAGCTTTTTGCCCCCACCCCGCCTCGGCGTTTTGCCCCCACCCCGCCTCGGCTTTTTGCCCGCCACGGCTTTTTCCCCACTGCGGCTTTTTAGCCCCCGCTGCTGCGGCTTTTTGTCCCCCGCCGCCCCGACTTTTTGCCCGCCGCGGCTTTTTATCCCCCGCCGCCATGGCTTTTTGCCCCACCGCAGCAGCGGCTTTTTGCCCCCACCCCGCCTCGGCTTTTTGCCCGCCGCGGCTTTTTGCACCCCCGCCGCCGCAGCTTTTTGCCCGCTGCGGGTTTTTGCGCCCCGCCGCCCCGGCTTTTTGCTCATCGCCGAAGCGGCTTTTTACCCCCCGCCGCGGCTTTTTGCCCCCTGCCGCCGCGACTTTTTACCCGGGGCGGCTTTTTGCCCCCCGCCGCCGCGGCTTTTTGCCCCCCCGCTGTCACGGCTTTTTCTCCGCTGCGGCTTTTTGCGCCCCCGCCGCGTCGTCTTTTTGCTCCCCCGCCGCCGTGGCTTTTTGACGCCGCGGCTTTTTTCCCGCTCCGGCTTTTTGCCCCCCCGCTGCCACGGCTTTTTGCCCCCCCGCTGCCACGGCTTTTTGCCCCCCCGCCGCCGCGGCTTTTTCCGAGCCGCGGCTTTTTGCCCCTCCGCTGCCACGGGTTTATGCCCACCGCGGCGTTTTGCCCCCCATCGCCGCGGCTTTTTGCCCTCCGCCGCCGTGGCTTTTTGCGCGCCTCGGCTTCTTGCCCCACCGCCGCCGCGGCTTTTTGCCCCCCGCCGCGAATGAAAATGTTCATAAGGTATTTTATTTTTTTATTTTGATAAAATACACATAACATAAAATGTACTCTGTTAACCATTTCAAGTACAGTTCAGTGGTACTAAATACAGTCATAACATTGTGCAGCCATCCCTACCATCCATCTCCATAACTCGTTTCATCTTGTGAAACTGAAACTCTATACCCATTAAACAATACTTCCCAATTTCTTCCTCCCCCCAGCTTCTGGCAACCATCATTGTACTATCTCTGTGATTCTGTCCACTTTAAGTGCCTTATACAAATGGAATTATACTGTATTTGTCCTTCACTGACTAACTTATTTCACTTGGCATAATATCCTCAAGTTTCATCCAAGTTGCAACATATGTCAGAATATTTCCCTCATGTTTAAGGGCTGAATAATATTCCATTGTATGTATATATCATATTGTGCTTATCCATTCATCTGTTGTTGGACACTTCACTTGCTTCTACATTTTAGCTACTGCAAATAATGCTGCTGCAAACATGGATGTGCAAATATTTTTTCAAGGCTCTGCTTTCAATTCTTTTGCTATCCTGAGATGTGGCGCTGCTGAGTCATATGGCAATATCATTTTGATGTTTTGAGGAACTACCATACTCTTTTCCACAGCAAACATAGGGTTTGGCATTCCCTCCAAAACTGCAAAAGGAATCGCCACATGCTTGCCTGTGGATTGTATTCCCAAGTCTTGTGGCTCTCTCTACATCCCGGCCACCATGTGTTATTTCCTGTTTATATATATGACATCAAAGGTGCAGAAAGTAATGAACTAAATTAGAAGGATAAACATGTAGAAAAATAGAGGTAAATACGGACTACATAAAAGCATAAGAATAAGAATTTTGGATGATCTATTATATACCTATTTATCTAACATCTATCTGTTCCTCCATCTGTAATTAAAATATATTACAGTTAGAGGACAGAGGAAAAAGTAGGAATACATGAATTTAAATTTTAATTCTTCTTAGATTGTCTCACAGCATCATTATATGAAAGAAAATTTATAGGTCAATATCTGTTAACTATAAATGTAACATTCTTAAAGTATTCAAATACATTGAATTACAGCATGAATAATATATTACAATCCAGTCAAGTTTATTTTTTTCCAGGAACACAAAAATACAGATTTCATTTGCAATTCAAAAAAAAACAGAAATCGATACATATGTTTGATATATATACACATTTAATGTATTTTTAAATATACATTTTTAAAAAATAGAAATTTTTCTAGGACAAATAAAATATCACTGAAAATAGTGTTATTAGCTAATAACTTCATGATAACTCTGGTATTACATAAGAAACCAAAATTAAAATTTTAGGTAAACTTAGAAACTCAAAATTTTAAAAATATTACTCTGTTCTCCATATGTTCATATTTAATATTATTTCTTGTTTTCATTCTTCTTCAGTGTTGCTCTACCAAAATATAACATACAATACTAACTTTTGATTTCTGTTCTTATTACTCAAAATTGTATACATTTTCTCATGCTCTTCATTTAGTTATGCTACTTTTCTGTACTCTTGGAATTTTCACATTTGTGTTCACTCTCTTTTGAGTTCCCATAGTATCAAATAAGCTTTTTTCCCTCTTTCTGATTTGAAGGTTCATCTTCTCATAATTATTTTGTCCACTCAGTTTCTTTTCATTCTCAGTTAAGTGCCTCTCATCTGGCTTCTTTTCATTCATAAGGTTTCCTTTCATCTTAAGCCAGTCTTTTATTTATATTTTGACACTGTTTTGTGGAGGACTTGCTTCCCTGAATTTTATGGAAGAGGCCAAAAGGTTTGTTCAAGTTTTTACCTGATACATTGGATTAAATTATCTAATGTACACACTTTTAATTTAAGTCTAGGAGTGACTGTCTACTCTTGATTTTGTATGGTATTATTTTTCTTAACATCCAAGTCCATCTTCATCTATTTGTATGTGATCAATAAAAATATATTTGTCCAGAACCCTGCTTTGGCGGAGTTACTTCTTTCTAAATAGTAGAGGTAGCAGTTGAGACATGAGCTGGGTTCTGGGTCAGTTTAGAGGGCTGGGCGACATTCCTCCTTTTGGTCTGTATGACTGAATGAATGCAGTTCTTGCTGTCTCGCTCCTGTCCTTAACACACTGAGCCATTGCAGCAGATGAGAAGGAATAATCTTGATCTGCCATTCAGGTGGAACACATGTTCTCTCCAACCACACCCATAGGTTGTACTCACACTCGGCCAGAATGTATCCTGTCAATGATATGGAGATGTATCTATCTATCTAGATAGATATCTACTTTGGTTTATGCTCTCTGGTTGCCTGTAAATTATCTCCTTAAAGTGAATATCAAAAGAGAGCTTGGTGATGGCAGTGTAATAAAATCCTCAAAATGCAGCACCCACACCCAGAGGAATTTGTAGATTCTGGCATTCTAATTCAGATACCAAACTATATAAAAGGGGAATTGGTCATTGAGGGTTGCTAGGCTCTTTGTTGAGCATATTTGCTCTTTCCATGACTTTGAAATTATTTTAAAAATCTAACCTTTTCCTCGGTGTGCTGCAAGATGATTTGATTTTAATGCATATGCAGTAATTCTCCCCTAAGATTTCTACAATATATTTGCTCTGACAAGCCATAGCCAGCAACTCACTTCACAGCAATTCATAGCATTTCCACGATAAGTTGAATTATTTTTAACTAGACTCTCTTTGCCTTAATAAAAATATGAAGAAGCAATCTACTTGTTCTAATTAGGTTCAAAAGTTGACAGTCTCTCTCCTGGAAAGAATAAAAAAACTTTTCAACGGCCTAATATGCATCTATAGACACACACACACACACACACACGCAGGCACTGTTCATAAAACTTAAAGCACATTCTGTTCTATGACTTCATTTGTCTAGCACAAAATAAAACGATCTCAGTATATGTCAAGTACCAATTTTTTCGTATGGCCAATTATAGGTATTTTATTTTTTAAAGATTAGAGTGTTCTTGAAGCTCTTTCTATTTCTTTGTCAATGAACTAAACATTGGCAAATATGTAGGGTTGCCCACATAAGAACATTATTAACATCAAAATAGAAAGCTGGCGGTAGAAATAATGATTGGGAACATAGAGTCTCTTCTCAACGTTCTAGTTCTGTCATACCATAACTTTGTGATCTCAGGAAATATCTCTCCATGTTGTCATCTCTATGTATAGTTCTGTCATTTTTCAATAAGAGCTTTTTGCTTAATTGTGAAGTACTAGTTACTATAACCATTATTTTGAGCTTCATGTAAATCAAGAACACATGGACTACACTTGCAAAACACTGAAAACGTAGTTAGGGATTGGGGGCATAAAGCAACATTTTAAAATGTGTAAAGACAATGAGTAAGCAACAAAGTGTCCAATTTTTTAGGGGAAAGTTGCATATGTCAGGAGAAGGCAGGATTAAGTAACAGAGATTTGAATGATAACTGGCCATTTGGTGTCATTTACAATTGCAAGTCATACAAATGAAGTTTGCTTTTTTAAAGAGAAAAGGAGTTAGTTAGAATGGGTCAACCTATTGGGGAAGCAATGTAGTTAGAGACAATGCCCAAAACCATGTGAGCAAATGCTCTGTAGAGCACACCTCTGCAATGCTGCCATTGTGAGGCCAAGTCTCTCCTTGTCTTGGTACTGAGCTCTCCATTCTGCCTCCATCATTGCCACTGTAGCTGCCACAAAATGATCCCTCAACCACCGCTGCCCAGGAACAAAGAAAGAATTCTGTCCTTCCGCGCTCTCAGATCAATTTCCAACAGCAGGTGACCCTTTTATGGGCACTATTCAGTTCCCATATCCATGAAATAGATGCAGTAAAAACATAGAAATTGCCTATGTGTTTCCCAATAAGACACATATGGAAGCCTGTTTTCCCACAACAGGAAGGGGTTTGCACGATGGGTGTTCAAAGGAACAATAGTCCCTGTAAACCATATGAAGAAAAGCAATAAGGATTATTTAGTAAATAGACAAGGAAACTCATCCAGGGTTGGCTGATGAGAAGCTGGTTAGCAAGGGGGTCTGCCTTCAGTTAGGACAAGGTCTGTGCTTCCCACGGGTTCTCTCCACAGCAGGAGGGATGCAAACTTCCCTTTCCTCCCCTGCACCTACCCTCAAATGGCCCAGAGGTCTTCAGGTGCTAGAATTTCTCAATGCTGCACAAAATAATAGACAGCCTTGACTGTCACAGTCTCTGCTCATTACATAAAACAGGAGAGTAAGAACAAGGGTGTTTAACGCTACCCTAGCTCAAACAAGTTTCTCTCTGTAGGATGCCAAGAACCTGGGAACCAGTGCATCTGCTGCTTTCCCTTCTCGGATTCTAGCCCAGACAAAAGAGGCAAGGGGCATTTCTTCAGAGGCCTTGAGCTTCACTACACAATGACCGAGGCTCTACATGCACCCTCTTTATATATTTCTACCTTGAAAAAAATTTTTATATATTAATAACATATATTTTTATGTAATAAACACGTTTATTTTATAGATAGATATAGATATACATAGATAAAGATCTCTAGTCAGCCTTTTTTAAGGCTGGGCTGATCGCGGTGCCTCAAAACTATAATCCCAGCACTTTGGGAGGCCAAGGTGGCCAGATCTCTTGAGTCCAGGAGATGGAGATCAGCCAGGGCAACATGGTGAAACCCCATCTTTACAAAAATTAGCTAGCATGGTGTCATGCACTTGCAGTCCCTGCTACTCAGGAGACTGAGGTGGAAGAATCGCTTGAGCACAGTATGTGAAGGCTTCAGTGAGGTCTGATCACATGACTGCACTCCATCTTGGGTGACAAAGTGAGACCCTGTCTCAAAATAAAATAAAATAAAAAGGCTACCACCATACTCACAGATAAGTGTTCAGGTATATTTGCAGCTATCTTTCCTATATTCTATTAGGTAAAAAAAAAATTGCAAAGAACTCTTCTCATTCTAGATTTTTGTTTTAATTAGACATTTGAAGTTTATAGCAGAAGAGCTATAATCATGTTTTGTGTGTGTACTCTATAGACCAGATAGTGCAAACAGATATCAATGCTTTTTAAAAGTATATAAGGTTATTAGAAATATTTTAAACTACCTATAGGTATATGTGCATGTAATTGAACTACCAAATGCAAGTAAGATCATTTCCTTAGCGTGTGAAATCCACTCAATTTATTAAAATATTTTCTAACATCTATTACAATATTTCTTAATTAGCTAAAATAAGAGGAGTTTTAAGACATTTATTTATATGTACTTACGAGATTCAAACTCGATTCCACTATTTTCAGAAATCATACTCTGATACAAGTCCTTTTTTTATCTAACTATGTTTCTGCCTATATTAAAAGAGATATATGTCAATTTTGCTAATCATGCTGTTCCAAACCTCTCCATCCTGATTATTTTTCGGTTTGTTCTACCAGTCACTCAGAGACTTACTTATATTCAAATTTCTCTCTAGGTTTAACATTTGTCTATGTCTTCTTGTGGTTTTGTCTATTTTTGCTGTATATAATTTATTTTATTGACATATATCATACATACAGAAAAGTACAATGATTAAATATGGATAGCTTGATTAATGAAACACATGTATTTGCTTAGAACCATGTATGAAAATAGAACATTACTAAAAGTAGTGATATTTTTCCTGCCCCTTTCCAAACACTAACCCTCATCCTCAATAGTAACAGATTTTTTTTATCATACAGTAATTTGGTCTATTTTCAAATTTTTATTAAATAAATCAGAGTATCTACTCTATGTTTCTTTCATTGTTGTTATTTTGCTTATAGTATTTATCTGCTAATGGACATGGTAGATTAAAGACGGCTACATACACATTTTTTAATTAATAAATTTTTTGAACACTTTGTGGCTCATGCCTCTAATCCCATCACTTTTGGAAGCTCAGCTGCTTGGATCATGAGGTCAGGAGATCGAGACCATCCTGGCCAACGTGGTAAAACCCGTTCTCTACTAAAATACAAAAAATTAGCTGATAGACTAACATCAAGATAACATCTGGGTTCTTAGCTGCACTGAGTCAAGCCTACTTACATCTTTGTCTTCCTCTGCACTTTTCCTTCCACATCACACTCCAGGAATGCCAAGCTGTGCTGGCCTTCTACCCCATTTCCACTATTTTGTCCCGGCCGCAGCGCGTTTTTGTGGCTTTTTGCCCCCGCTACCGCTGCTTTCTGACCCCGCCGCCGCGGGTTTTTGCCACCGCGGCTGTTTACCCCCGCTGCCGCGGCTTGTTGCCCCCGTCGCCCAGGCTTTTTCCGCCGCCGCCGCGTCTTTTTGCCCCCGACGCCACGGCTTTTTACGGCTTTTTGCCCCCGTCCCCGCAGCTTTTTGCCGCCACGCCTTTTTGCCCCCGTCGCCACTACGGCTTTTTGTCACCCCCGCCGCGGCTTTTTGCCACCCCGGCTGTTTGTCCCCACCGCCGCGGGTTTTTGCCGCCGCGGCTGTTTGCCCCCACTGCCGCGGCTTGTTGCCCCCGCCGCCGCGGCTTTTTGCCCCCGAAGCCGCAGGTTTTTATGGCTTTTTGCCCCCGTCGCCTCTGCTTGTTGCCCCCGCCGCCGTGGCTTGTTGCCCCCGCCGCCACGGCTTTTTGCCGCTGCCGCGATTTGCTCCCGCCGACGCGGCTTTTTGCCCCCGCCACCGCGGGTTTTTGCCGCCTCGGCTGTTTGCGGCCCCTGCTTTTTGCCCCCGCTGCCGTGGCTTTTTCCCCTGCGGCCTCGGCTTTCTGCCCCCGTCGCCACAGATTTTTGCCGCTGTGGCTTTTTAACCCGCCGCCGCGGCTTTTGGTCCCCGCTGCCGAGGCTTTTTGCCGACCCTGCTTTTTGTCCCCGCGGCTTTCTGCCCCCGCCTCCGCCGCTTTTTGCCGCTACGGGTTTTTGCCCCCACAGCCACAGTTTTTTGCCCTCGCCGCCGCAGATTTTTGCAGCTTTTTGTCCCCGCCGCCGCGGCTTTTTGCCCCCGCCGCTGCGACTTTTTCCGCCGCGGCTTTTTGCAGCTTTTGGCCCCCGCCGCCGCGGCTTTTTGCTCCCCCCGCCACGGGGTTTGGCCGCCGGTGCTTTTTGCGCCCGCCGCCTCGGGTTTTGCCAACGCGGCTTTTTACGCCCATCGCCGCGCCTTTTTGCTTCCCGCAGCCCCTTTTTGTCCCCGCCGCCGCGGCTTTTTGCCCCCGCCGCCGAGGCTTTTTGCCGTCGCGGCTTTTTCCCCCGCCGCCGCTGCTTTTTGCGGCTTTTCACCCCCACCACCGCGGCTTTTTGCTGCCCGCCGCCGCCCCTTTTTGTCCCCGCCGCCGCGGCTTTCTGCTCCCGCCGTCGCGGTTTTCTGCCCCTGCCGCCAAGGTTTTTTGCCCCCGCCGCCGCTGCTTTTTATGGCTTTTCACCCCCGCCGCCGGGGATTTTTGCCCCCGCCGCCGCCGCCGCCGCCGCCGCCGCCGCCCCTTTTTGTTCCGGCCGCCGCGGCTATTTGCCCCCGTCGCCGCGGGTTTTTGCTCCTCCCATCTTAGGTTTTGGCCGCCGTGGCTTTTTGACCCCGCCGCCGCGGCTTTTTGCCCCCCCGCCCCCACCGCGGGTTTTGGCCGCCGAGGCTTTTTGGCCCCCGGCCGCCGCGGCCTTTTGCCGCCGGTTTTTCCCCCGCCGTCGCGGCTTTTTGCAGCTTTTTGCCCCCGCCGCCATGGGTTTTTGCCGACGCAGCTTTTGACACCCCACCGCCAGGGCTTTTTGCGCCCACCGCCGCGTCTTTTTGCTCCCGCCAGCGCGGCATTTTGTCCCTGCCGCCGCAGCTTTTTGTCCCCGCCGCCACGGCTTTTGCCTACGCGGCTTTTTCCCCCCGTCGCGGCTTTTTGTCCCCGCCGCCGCTGCTTTTGCGGCTTTTTGCCCCCGCCGCGGCGGCTTTTTGCTCCCCCTGCCGCGGGTTTTGGCCGCCGGTGCTTTTTGCGCCTGCCGCCGCGGGTTTTGCCAAAGCGGCTTTTTGCTTCCCGCTGCCGCCCCTTTTTGTCCTCGTCGCCGCGGCTTTTTGCGCCCCGCCGCCGAGGCTTTTTGCCACTGCGGCTTTTTGCCCCCGCCGCCGCTGCTTTTTGCGGCTTTTCGCCCCCTTGGCTTTTTACCCCCGCGGCCGCCGCGGCTTTTTGCGCCCCGGCGCCGCGGTTTTTGCTGCCCGCCGCCGCGGATTTTTGCGCCCGCCACCGCGGCTTTTTGCTCCCCGTCGCCGCGGCTTTCTGCCCACGCCGTCGCGGTTTTCTGCCCCTGCCGCCGAGGCTTTTTGTCCCCGCCGCCGCGGCTTTTTGCTCCCCGCCGCCGCGGTTTTCTGCCCCCGCCGCCGAGGCTTTTTGCCCCCGCCGCTGCTTTTTGCAGCTTTTCGCCCCCGCCGCCGCGGGTTTTTGCCCCCGCCGCCGTGGCTTTTGCCCCCGCCGCCGTGGCTTTTGCCCCTGATTCCGCGGTTTTTCCCCCCGCCGCTGCGGCTTTTTGTGGTTTTTTGCCCCCGCTCCCGCGGCTTTTTGCCAGTGCTGCCGCGCCTCTTTCCCCGCCACCGCTCCTTTCTGCCCCCGCAGCCGCGCCTTTTTCCCCCCAGCCGCCGCTTTTTGCCGCCGCAGCTTTTTATCCCCGCTGCCGAGGATTTTTACCCCCGCCGCCGCGGCACTGAGGGCGGGAGCGGCAGACTCGGCCGCCAGCTCCACTGGCGTCCTGGCAAGGGCAGCGCCGAGGGGCGCTCCTGGTCCAGCTCTCCCAGCTCAGGAGTGTATGAATGCTTTGTGTTCTGACAAAGAGAATGTAGCACCCATGTCCTACCTGCTTGGTTGCATTGCCGGTGCCCACGGTAGTCCATTTTATCCAGGTTTTTAGGTTTTGTTGTGTTTCGTTTTGTTTTTTTCTTTTCAGGAGAGTTAGTCCAAGACCAATAACTCCATAACTGGTAGAATTGGAAGACTTTAATAGTGCTTAACGTTTTGTACATAGCTTTATAAGTTTTCTTTTTCTTTTTTTCTGATTCTTTTCAATATACCGCATCATGGTTGAACTCAAACTCATTGCTTATTTAAAATCTATAACTGCTGACGTTTTGTAACCTTCGCATTCCAGATAATTGGTTTTTTGTGTATTTTCTGTTTTTTTTCTCCATCAGTCTACCTACATATTTGTTAGATTTAATATTTTAATATATTACTAGCAGTTACTCCCCATTTCCCCCTTTTCCCAGCCCCTGGCAACCATTAGTCTATTCTCTGTCTCTATAGACTAGCATATGCCAAATATCAAAAAAAAAAAAAATCATATGTGACCTTTTGTGTTTGGCTTCTTTTATTTACCATGTTGTCCTGATTCATCCATGTTGTATCTTGTGTCAGCACTTCATTGCTTTATATGCCTGAATCCCATTGCATGAGTATACTATGTTTTGTTTATCCATTCATTAGTTGATGGATATTTGAGTTGTGTTCATTTTTTGACTATGATTAATAATGTACTGTGATGAGATTCATGTACTCGTTTTTGTGTGGACGTATTTTTACAATTTTCTTTATATATCTGGTAGTGGGCATATGGTAAATCTATGTTTAAATTTTTGAAAAACTCCAAAACTGTTTTCCAAAGTCTCTGTACCATTTTATATTATTACCAGCAGTGTATGGAGGTTCCATTTTTTCCTACCTCCTTGCCAACATCTGTTATTTTCTTTTTTAAAAAAATATAGCCATCCTTATAGATGTGAAGTGGTATCTAGTTTTCACTTGCGTATCCTTAATGACTAATGATGTTGAGCATCTTTTCATGTGCTGATTGGCCATTTGTATATCTTTTTAGAGAAATGTTCATTTAGATTGTTTGCTCATTTAATTGGGTTGTCTTTTTGTTATTCTAAGAATTCTTTATATATTCTGGACATTAGTTCCTCATCAGATGTATGACTTAATAGATATTTTCTCTCATTCTGTGGGTTCTTTTCACTTTCCTGATGGTATCCTCTGAAGTACAAAAGTTTTGAATTTTGTTAAAGTCCAGTTTGTTTTTTCCTTTTGTCACTCTTGCATTTAGTGTTGTATCTAAGACCCATTGCCTAATTCATGGTCACAGATTTATACCTATGTTTTCTTCTACAAATTTTATAGTTTTACCCCTTATATTTGGGTCTTTGATCCTGATAGTGTTTTTTTTGGTGAACAGAATTTGTTTAGGCTTTATATGAAAACCCACTGGGGCTATTAAGGTAGTTTTACTATATTATCTTTAGAAGTTTTATGGTTTTGCTTCTCATCTTATTCTTAATCCACTGGAAACTACATGTTGTATAGTCAGTGTTCATTTATATTTACTCACATTATTTGTCTTCTTAAGTACTCACCATTTCTTCTCGCAACTCAAGTCTTCCATCTAGGGGAACACCCTTCTACTGAAAAACATCTCTTAGAATTTCCTTTAGTGAAGGTCTCTTAGTTAGCAAATTTAGTATTAGTTTGGTTTTTATGACTTAAATATTGTCTTATATTTGGCCTGTTTATTACAAGATATATTAATTTCATATGTGATTATTTTTTCTTAGTACATTGTCTTCTTGCTTCCATTTTTAAGACATTAGCTCTTGGTCTAAATCCATATTCTTTCATGGATAATGTGAATTTTTTCTCTGGTTGTTTTCAATATATTCTTTTCTTCAGGGTTCCGTTATTTTTATGATGATACATTTAAGTATTTTTTTCCTTTTAAATCTGTCCAACTTGAGTTTCCTGAATATGAAGGGTGGAATTTTTCATCACTTTGGGAAAATTCCAAGCCATTATCTTTTTTACAAAACCTTTCTAACAGTTTATTGTTCTACTTATGAAATCCTGTTAGTTGTAACATCTTATCACTCTTGTCTTCCATGTCTCTTGTTTCTTTCTTATTTTTTACTTCTTTGGGCTTCATTCTGAGCAATTTCTTCAGCCTGTCTTCCAGTTTATATTTTCCTTTTCAATTATATGTAATCTGCTGTCAAATCTGTCTTCAATTTCAACAATTATGTTTTTATTTCTGGAATTTCTGTTTGGATCCTTCTCAAATCTGCCTGGTCATTTTTTAAATTTTTTTTTTTTTGCTTTCATTGAGTTGTATTAAAATTTTATTATATGCCCAACAATTCTAATTAAGTCTTTATTGGTTTGATTTTGCTGAGTCTCTTTTCTTTTGTCTTTATTTTCTTTACTTGTACAATGTTAATAATCTAGTAATAACACCAACTAAATCACATGATTGTTTTAAGAATTGAGATAATGAATATATTGCATAATATCTGGTACATAGCAAATGTACATGCAATCCATTATAATAATTAGAAATAATGAAATATAATGTATGATTATTAGGAAATGTACCAGAGCCACAAATTTTATTGAGCGATATAAAAGACAACTAGAGAAAACAAAGAAATGTGCCATAGCTGGATTGAAACAGTAATAATAATGTGTGTTCATCTTAGACTAAATCATGTCTCATACAATTTCAATAAAATTCCAATTAAATTTATTTTTAAAACGTGGCAAATACATTGTAAATTAAATGTAAAAGAACAAACAGGGCCAGGCTCAGTGGCTCAACCTGTAATCCCAGCATTTTGGGAGGCTGAGGCGGGCATATCATGAGATCAGGAGATCGAGACCATCCTGGCTAACACGGTGAAACCCCTTCTCTACTATAATACAAAAAATTAGCCGGGCGTGGTTGCAGGCGCCTGTAGTCCCAGCTACTCAGCAGTCTGAGGCAGGAGAATGGCGTGAACCCAGGAGGAGGAGCTTGTGGTGAGTGAAGATCATACCACTGCACTCCAGCTTGGGCGACAGAGAGAGATTCCATCTCAAAAATAAAATAAACTAAAATATAAAAAGAAAAAGAATTTGTGTCTTGTTTCCTCATTAATGTTGGTTGAAAGCATGTTTGCACTTGTCTTTGACTTGTGTTTTATTAACATCGATTGGCATATTAAAAGTCCCTCTGAGCTTACCTTGTCTAAAAAAATGTAAGAAGAAGGACTATGAGGCAGAGGGGCTGGTGTGAGCACATGCTGGGCAGGAGGAAAGAGGTAATGATCAGGACCAGGGAAATCCCCAAACCCAGCAAGTCAGGGAGCCAAATGAAAGCCTTTCATCCTGTATCGGCCACCTAACCCCATCGACACTCAAAGTGAGCATTCTCTCTTAGAGATACTCATTGTCCTGTTTTTTCTGTAACCTTGCAAAGGAATCTGATTTCTCCCATTAGCCTTTCACAGGACAAAAATTTCATATTAGAATGCTATTCTTTAGAAGGCATCTCAGATTAGGCTGCAAGGAGATTGAGGAAGTTACTGTCAGTCACTTATACCCCACAGGGACATTAATTCACCAGAGCTTTGGTGGGGGAGTAGAGGAGCTCATTACAAGCAGGTCTGGATGCTGCACAGAGTGTAAAGGGGGCAGAAGGATCCAGGACACCTAGGCCTGGAGATAGTGCCAATGCTGGGAGGTACCATTATTATCCCCATTTTACAGAGGAGGAAACAGACACTGGCAGGTAATGTGATCAAGACCATGCTGTCCTGCAGTACAGGAGCCAGGATCTAAACCAAGGCAGCCTGCCTTGCCATCAGCGCTATCACCCATAACCTCGTGCTGCCTTTAAGCAGGATTGCCCTGTGGCCAGGGGCACAGCTTCTGGGTTCACATTCCAGCTTCTCTACAATTTCCAGCTGTGTGACCTTGGGCAAGTTACTTGTCTGTGCTCAGCGTCCTCTGCACAGTGGGTATAGCAATACCTGCCTCATGGAGTCCTTTGAGTTAATCACTGTAACATGCTTAGAATGGTGCCATGCGCATCGTCACCATGCAGTACATATGGGCCATCATGCCTGAATCCCGGATAGATTAAAAGTCCCTCTGAGCTTAACTTCTCTAAAAAAATGTAAGAAAAAGGGCCTGTGGGAAGGACTATGAGGCAGAGGGGCTGGTGTGAGCACATGCTGGGCAGGATGAAAGAGGTAATGACCAGGACCATTGAAGGGTCTAAAATGACCAGTATCCTTGAAGAGTCTAAAATCTAGGATCCTGAAATGCCTGGCAGTGGGATCCTGAAATCCTCTGGCAGCATTTTAACATATTTTGGCTGCAGAATTGTACCCTGCTTCCCGGGGCTAGAAGGTGTGGGATCAGCTGCTTACTCAGTTCAGCCCCAAAGTAGGCAAAGAAGGTTTTGTCACAGGCTTGTCTAGGGCCCAGCCCCTGTAACCTCCCCTTGTCCCTCCCTTGCATGCTCCCTCACCCATATTCACACATGAACTCCAGGCATTCTGGGCCCCAAGGGAAGGAGAGAGGGTGGGGAGTGGGTTCACTGGTCTACCGAAGCATGCTGCCTTCAGCCCAGCTGAACTGCTGGGTCCAGGGAATGGGCCTGCAGCTGAAGGGGTCTTGCCCCCCCTTTAACTTTAAACTTTGATTTGCAGTGATCCAAGAGCTTCATCTCTTCCTGTGATCCTGTCTGGATGTTTATGCTGGATGGCACGGGCCCCTTCTGGCAGGGGTGCACAGGCCAGGGCATGGCTGGCAGCCATGGCAGGTAAGGAGACCTTGGCAGATGAGAAGACCTTCTGCTTCAGCTTCAATGTATGGGTCTTCTCCTGGCTCTCAGTACATTCCTCCTGAGCCATGATGGGCCCCAGTTCAATGAAACCTTCTGCGGCAGCATCATGGTGTCCAGGGGTATAATCTGGAGCAAGTGCCAGTGCTACCCCAAGATAGGTGGTTGTGGGGCTGAGTGAAGCCCAAAGGGCTGGATCTTGTACCTCTCTTCCACGTATCTGCTTCAACCTTCAATCATCTTGTTATTTTCATTTTGACTCCCGTTTTATTCTGTCTTCTCTTCTGAGCACCCATCCATTCATTTATCCATTCATCCATCTATTCAACCATCCATTCATCCCAGCATCAATCTATCAATCTATGCATCCATCCATTTATTTGTCCAACCACCCATCCATCTATCTGTCCATCATTTAGCATAAGGATTGATCAGAAGCCTCCTGGTTCTGGAGCCATAGACCAGACACCATGGGGAGACATGATGAAAAACAACATATGATTTGTGTGCTTGAAACAAAAGCTAATGAGTGCTTACCACCTGCCTGGCAGTCCTGCATTCAGGGTGCAGTTCTCCCCTCATCCTGAGCTTTTTGGTACCTTCTGTAGTTTCATTTTGTACTAGAGAATGCTGAGCCTCATAAAGTGGGATCACACAGCTGTGTAGTGGAGTTTGGATTGGAGCTCAGATGTGTGTGACTTAGGCATCATCCTCTACCTTGAGTCCTCCACTCCAGGGTCCCAGAGCTGCTGAGCATTCTGGGGTTGGTCAGCTCTAACTTTGGTGGCATGCATTGAGCAACTCTCCATATTTTGGAGTCTTAATGTATTCCTAGCCTTAGTGATGGCAAGGACCCTGCTTTGGGAGACCTGGGTTCTAGTTCCAGTCCTGTCCCAAACTTTCTGTGTGATCTTTGTCTTTCTGAGTCCAGTATTTGCATCTGCGTAATAGGACACAAGCACCAACTTTCACAGCCTCATAGGGCTATTACAGAGGTCAGAGAAGAGAAGAGATATACAAATATTTGTAGACTGTAGAGTGTTTTGTTTAGGTGAAGGGCTGTCAGGTCCTGACAACCCTCTGGAATGAACATGTCAGAAGTTGTAAACCTTCAATGCCCAGAGAGGTGGAGTGACTCTTCCAAGGTCACATATCTAGTCAGAGACAGACCAAGGGGAAAAAAATGAGAGAAAAATGGAATCTAACTTGGGCTCTGTCTCTAACTGCCTGGGAGACTGCTCAAGCCCCTTCACTCTCTAGGCCTCAGTTTCCTTGTTTTTACAATATGTGAGACAGGATGAGGGGATGGATGGGGAGGATATCTGGAGGCCTTGCTAGAACTCACCTCTAAGGCCCAGGCTTGGGAATCCCCAGAACCCCCATATTGTCCTTTACACCTGGATGGCTGTGCTCAAGGGCTCAGGGAGGGGGGACTCTTGTGGACCTGGACTCCCTAGCCCTTCCCATTCTGTGGGCCCACCTTGTGATGTCAGCATGTTAGGTGCTGGAATGGTCTCAGCAGGTTTGCAGTCATTTCCGAAGAAGTTTATGGTAACCTCACCTCTGTCTGCACCATGTCCTGGGCAGAGGTCCCCGGGAGAAGTCCTGGAGGCCAGAGCTACCCATGTCACCACCAGCCATGGCAGTCCTCTTCCCCATGAGGAGGCTGCACCCTGGGAGATGGCATCGGGTGGAACGGGACATCTGTCCTGACCTCCCAATTAGGCAGAGGTGGCTGTGGGACTGTGGGCAGGGATACTGGAGTGGCAGTGGGAAACGAAGTGGAGGAGGAAATATTGCTGGGTACTAATAGAATAGAATGTAATGGATTTCAATGTATTTGACTAGAATGAAATAGAATCGAATGGAATGTAATCCAATAGAATGGAATGGAATGAAATGCAATGGAATAGAATGCAATGCAATGGAACGGAATGTAGTGGAATCGGGTGGAATGGAATTGAATGGAATGGACTGGAATGGAATGGACTCGAATGGAATGCACTGGAGTGGATTGTATTCGAATGAAATGGAAACGAAAGGAATGGAATGGAATGGAAAGGAATAGAATGGAATGGAATTGGATGGACTGGAGTCGAATGGAATAGAATCGAATGGAATGGCATCAAATGGAATGGAATCTAATGGAATGTACTTGAATGGAATGGACTCGAATGGAATAGAATTGAATGGAATGGCATTGAATGAAATGGAATGGAATGGAATGAAATGGACACAAATGTAATGGACTCGAATGGAATGGACTCAAATAGAATGGAATTGAAAGAAATGGTCTCGAATGGAATTTATTCGAATAGAATGGAATCGAATGGAATGCAATAGTATGGAATGGAATCGAATGGAATGGAATCGAATGGAATGGACCGGAATGGAATGGACTGGAATAGAATGGAGTCGAATGTAATGGATTGCAATGTAATTGATTCGAATGGAATCGAATCGAATGGAACGGAATCGAATGGAATGGACCAAAATGGAATGGACTGGAATAGAATGGAATCGAATGTAGTGGATTGCAGTGTAATTGATTTGAAAGGAATGGAATCGAATGGAATGTAATCAAATGGAAAGGAATTGAATGAAATGGAATGGAATAAAATGGAATGCAATGGAATGGAACAGAGCGGAATCGAGTGGAATGGAATCGAATGGAATGGACTGGAACAGAATGGACTCGAATGGAATGGAATGGAACAAAACGGAATCAAACGGAATGGAATTGAATGGAACGGAACGGAACGGAATGGAATGGAATGGAATGGAATGGAATGGACTCGAATGGAATGGAGTTGAATGGAGTGGAATCAAATGGAATGGAATCAAATAGAAGGCAATTGAATAGAATCGAAAGGAATAGAATGGAATGGAGAATAATGGAAAGATATCGAATGGAATGTAATGTAATGGAAACAAATAGAATGCGATTGAATAGAATCGAATGGAATAGAATAGAATGCAGTATAATAGAAAGATACTGAATGTAATGTAATGTAATGGAATCAAATGGAATGGACTGGAATGGAATGGACTCGAATGCAATGGACTGGAGTGGAATGGAATGAAATCGAATGGAACGGAATCGAATGGAATGGAATTGAATAGAATCAAAAGGAATAGAATGGAATGGAGTGTAATGGAAAGATATCGAATGGAATGGAATGGAATGGACTCAAATGGAATTGACTGGAATGGAATGGACTCGAATGGAATGGAATGCAGTCGAATGGAATAGAATCGAATGGAATGGAATCGAATAGAATGGAATTGAATAGAAACGAAGGGAATAGAAAGGAATGGAGTGTCAAGGAAAGTTATCGAATGGAATGGATTGGAATGGAATGGACTCGAAAGGAATGGACTGGAATGGACTGCAGTGGAATGGACGCGAATGGAATGAAAACAAATGGAATGGAAAGGAATGGAATAGAATGAAATGGAATGGAATGGAATGGAATGGAATGGAAAGGAATAGAATGGAATGGAATGGAATTGGATGGAACAGAGTGGAACGGAATGGAGTCGAATGGAACAGAAATGAATGAAATGGCATAGAATGGAATTGAATGGAATGGAATTGACTCAAAAGGAATGCAATCGAATGGAATAGAGTAGAATGGATTGGCATCGAATGGAATGGAGCAGAATGGAATGGAATGGAATGGAATGGAATGGAATGGAATGGACCCAAATGTAATGGACTCGAATGGAACAGACTGAAATAGAATGGACTCGAAAGGAATGGTGTCGAATGGAATTTATTCGAATAGAATGAAACTGAATGGAATGAAATAGATTGGAATGGAATCGAATGGAATGGACGAGAATGGAATGGACTGGAATAGAACGGACTGGAATTTAATGGATTACAATGTAATTAAATCGAATGGAATGGAACCGAATGGAATGTAATCAAATGCAATGGAATGGAATAGAATAGAATGGAATGCAATGGAATGGAACGGAGAGGAATCGATAGGAATGGAATCGAATGGAATGGAATCGAATGGAATGGACTGGAATGGAATGGACTCGAATGGAGTGGACTGGAATAAAATGGAATTGAACGGATTGGAATGGAATGGAACGGAATGCAATATAATGCAATGGAATGGACTCGAATGGAATGCAGTCGAATGGAATGGAACCGAATGGAATGGAATTGAATGGAATCAAAAGACTAGAATGGAATGGAGTGTAATGGAAAGATATCAAATGTAATGGAATGGAATGGACTCAAATGGAATGAACTGCAATGGAACGGACTTGATTGGAATGGACTGGAGTGGAATGGACTTGAATGGAATGAAATGAAAAGGACTGGAATGGAAAGGAAAGGAAGAGAATGGAATGAAATCGGATGGAACGGAATGGAATGGAATGGAGTCAAATGGAATAGAGTCGAATGAAATGACATTGAATGGAATGGAAAGGAATGGAAACGACCCGAATGGAATTGAAAAGAATGGAATGGAATGGAAAGGAACAGAATGGAATGGAATGGAATGAAAAGGAATGGAATGGAATGGAAGGGAACACAATGGAATGGAATCAGATGGAATGGAATGGAATGGAATGGAATGGAATGGAATGGAATGGAGTCAAATGGAATAGAATCAAACGGAACGGCATCGAATGGAATGGAATGGAATATAATGGAATAGAATGGACTCGAATGGAATGGATTCGAGTGGAATAGAATAGGATGGAATGGCATTGAATTGAATGGAATGGACCCAAATGTAATGGACTCGAATGGAATGGACTCAAATAGAATGCACTTGAAAGGAATGGTCTCGAATGGGATTCATTCGAATGGAATGGAATCAAAAGGAATGCAATAGTATGGAATGGAATCGAATGGAATGGACCAGAATAGAATGGACTAGAATGTACTGGATTGCAAATTGATTGATTCGAATGGAATGGAATCGAATGGACAGTAAGCAAATTGAATGCAATGCAATGCAATGCAATGGAATAGAATGGAATGCAATGCAATGGAATGGATTGGAATCGAGTGGAATGGAATCGAATGGAATGGACTCGAACGGAATGGACTGGAACAAAATGGAATAGAACGGACTGGAATGGAATGGAAAGGAATGGAATGGAGTGCAATGGAATGGACTCGAATGGAATGGAGTCGAATGGAATGGAACCAAATGGAATGTAATTTAATGGAATTGAAAAGAATAGAATGGAATGGAATGGAATGGAAAGATATTGAATGTAATGGAATGTAATGGACTCAAATGGAATGGAATGGAAAGGAATGGAATCGAATGTAATGGACTGGAGTGGGATAGACTCAAATGGAATAAAAACGAATGGAATGGAAAGGAATGGAATGGAATGGAAAGGAATAGAATGGAATGAAATTGGATGGAATTGAATGGAATGGATTCAAATGGAATAAAATCGAATGGAATGGCATTGAATGGAATGGAATGGAATGGAATGGAATGGAACGCAATGGACTCAAATGGAATGGAAACGAATGGAATGGAATGCAATGGCATGGGATGCAATGGAATGGAATGGAGTCAAATGGAATAAAATCGAATGGAACGGCATCGAATGGAATGGAATGGAATGGAATGGAGTGGAATGGACTCGAATGGAATGGATTCGAATGCAATAGAATAGAATGGAATGCCATCGAATGGATTGGAATGGAATGGAATGGACGCAAATGTAATGGACTCGAATGGAATGGACTCAAATAGAATGCACTCGAAAGGAATGGTCTCGAATGGAATTTATTTGAATAGAATGGAATCGAATGGAATGCAATAGTATGGAATGGAATCGAATGGAATGCACCAGAATGGAATGGACTGGAATAAAACGGACTTGAATGTAATGGTTTGCAATGTAATTGATTCGAATGGAATGGAATGGAATGCAATGGAATGGACTGGAACAGAACGGACTCGAATGTAAGGGATTGCAATGTAATTGGTTTGAATGGAATGGAATCAAATGGAATGTAATCCAATGGAACGGAATGGAATTGAATGCAATGGAATGGAATAGATGCAATGCAATGGAATGGAACGGAGTGGAATCGAGTGGAATGGAATTGAATGGAGTGGGATCAAATGGAATGGAATCAAATGGAATAGACTGGAATGGAATGCACTCGAATGGAATGGACTGGAAAATAATGGAATCGAACAGTTTGGAAACAAACAGAATGGAAAGCAATGACATGGAAGGGACTCGAATGGAAAGGAGTCAAGTGTAATGGAATCAAATGGAATGGGATTCAATGGAATCGAAAGGAATAGAACGGAATGGAGTGTAATGGAAAGATATAGAATGGAATGGAATGGAATGGACTGGACTGGAATAGAGCGGACTCGAATGGATTGCACTGGAGAGGAATGGAATCGAATGAATGGAAAAGAATGGAATGGAATGGAATGGAATGGAATGGAATGGAAAGGAATAGAATGGAATGGAATCGGACGGAACGGAATGGAACGAAATGGAATGGTATGGAGTTGAATGGAATAGAATCGAATGGAATGGCATCGAATGGAATGGATCCAAATGTTATGGACTCGAATGGAATGGACTCAAAGAGAATGGTCTCGAAAGGAATGGTTTCAAATGGAATTTATTTCAACAGAATGGAATCGAATGGAATGCAATAGAATGGAATGGAATGGAATTGAATGGAATGGACCAGAGTGGAATGGACTGGAATAGAATGGACTGGAATGTAATGGATTGAAATGTAATTGATTTGAATGGAATGGAATCAAATGGAATGGAATCAAATGGAATGAAATGGAATGCAATCGAATGGAATAGAATGCAACACAATGGAATCTAACGGATTGGAAGCGAGTGGAATGGAATCGAATGGAATGAAATCAAATGGAATGGAGTCAAAAGGAATGGACTGGAACAAAATGGAATAGAATGGATAGGAATCGAACGGAAAGGAATGGAATGGAATGAAAAGGAATGGAGTCAAATAGAATGGAATCGAAAGGAATGGAATTCAATGGAATTGAATTGAATTGAATCGAAAGGAATAGAATGGAATGGAGTGTCATAGAAACATATCAAATGGAATGGAATGGAATGGACTCGAATGGAATGGACAGGAATGGAATGGACTCGATGGAATGGAACGGAGGGGAATGGACTTGAATGGACTGGAAACGAATGAAATGGAATAGAATGCAATGGAATGGAATGGAAAGGAAGAGAATGGAATGCAATCAGAAGGAATGGAATGGAAGGGAGTGGAGTGGAAAGCAATAGAATTGAAAGGAATCGCATTGAATGGTATGGAATGGAATGGACTCTAATGGAATGGACTCGAATGGAGTGGCATCGAATGGAATAGAGTGGAATGGAATGGAATGGAATGGAATGGAATGGTCCCAAAAGTAATGGACTCGAATGAAAAGGACTCAAATAGAATGGATTCGAAAGCAATGGTCTCGAATGGAATTTATCCAAATAGAATGGAATCGAAAGGAATGCAATAGTATGGAATGGAATCGAATGAAATGGAATCGAATGGAATGGATTGGAATGGAATGGACTGGAATAATACGGACTCGAATGTAATGGATTGCAATGTAATTGATTCGAATGGAATTGAATTGAGTGGAATGTAATCAAATGGAATCGAATGGAGTGCAATGGAATGGAATACAATGGAATGCAATGGAATGGAAAAGAACGGAGTGGAATCGAGTGGAATGGAATCGAATGGAATGGAATCAAATGAAATGGAATCAATAAAATGGACGTGGGACAAAACGGAATCAAACGGATTGGAATAGAACGGAACAGAATGGAATGGAGGGTAATGGACTCGAATGGAATGGAGTCGAATGGAATGGAATGGAATGGAATGGAATGGAATGGAATGGAATGGAGTGTAGTAGAAAGATATCGAATGGAATGGAATGAAATGGAATGGACTGGAATGGAATGGAATGGAGTGGAATGGAAACGAATGGAATGGAATGAAAGGAATAGAATGGAATAAAATCGGATGGAATGGAATGGAATGGAATGGTGTCGAATGGAGTAGAATCGAATGGAACGGCATCAGATGGAATTGAATGGAATGGAATGGACTCGAATGGAATGGAATCGAATAGAATATAAATGAACGGAATGGCATCAAATGGAATGGAATGGAATGGCATGGAATTGAATGGACCCAAATGTAATGGACCTAAATGGAATGGACTCAAAGAGAATGGACTGGAAACGAACGGTCTCGAAAGGAATTCATTCAAATAGATTCGAATCGTATTGAATGAAATAGTTTGGAAGGGAATCAAATGGAATGGAATTGAATGGAATGGAGCAGAAAAGAAGGGACTGGAATAGAACGGACTCAAATGTAATGGATTGCAATGTAATAGATTTGCATGGATTGGAAAGGAATGGAATATAATCGAATGGAAAGGAATGGAATGCAATGGAATGGAATAGAACGGAATGCAATAGAATGGAACAGAGTGGAATCGAGAGGAATGGAATCGAATGGAATGGAATTGACTGGAAAAAAAGGAAATGAAAGGATTGGATTTGAACGGAACAGAATGGAAAGGAATGGAATGGAACATACTTGAATGGAATGGAATATACTCGAATGGAATGCAGTCAAATGGAGTGGAATCGAATAGATGGAAATGAATGGAATTGAAAGCAGTAGAATGGAATGGACGGTAAGGGAAACATATCAAATGGAATGAATGGCATAGAATGGACTCGAATGGAATGGAATGGAATGGGGCGGACTCGAATGGAATGCACTGGAGTGGAATGGACTCGAATGGAATGGAAACGAATGGAATGGAATGGAATGGAACGGAAAGGAATAGAATGGAATGGAATCGGATGGAACGGAATGGATTGGAATGCAGTCAAATGGAATACAACCGAATGGAATGGCATCAAATAGAATGGAATGCAATGGAATGGAGTGGACTCGAATAGAATGGACTCAAATGGAATAAAATCAAATGGAATGGTATCGAATGGAATGGAATTTAATGGAATGGACACAAATGTAATGGACTCACATGGAAATGACTCAAATAGAATGGAATAGAAAGAAATGGTCTCAAATGGAAATTATGTGAGTAGAATGGAATCGAATGGAATTCAACAGTATGGAATGGAATCGAATGCAATGGAATCAATTCGAATGGACTGGAATAAAACGGAGTCGAATGCAATGGATTGCAATGTAATTGATTCGAATAAAAAGGAATCGAATGGAATGGAAACGAATGGAATGGACCGGAATGGAATGGACACGAATAGACCGGACTCGAATGTAATGGATTGCAATGTAATTGATTTGAATG
Organism: Homo sapiens; assembly: GCF_000001405.40. Taxonomy (NCBI): domain Eukaryota; kingdom Metazoa; phylum Chordata; class Mammalia; order Primates; family Hominidae; genus Homo; species Homo sapiens. Next base: position 26,790,062 of record NC_000017.11, read on the forward strand.
GAATGGAATCGATGGGAATGTAATCCAATTGATTGGAATGGAAATCAATGGAATGGAATAGAATGCAATGCAATGGAATGGAATGGAGTGGATTCGACTAGAATGGAATCGAATGGAATCGAATTGAATGGAATGGGATCGAATGGAATGGATTGGAACACAATGGAATGGAACGGATTGGAATCAAACGGAACGGAATGGAATGGAATGGAATGGACTCGAATGGAATGGAGTCGAATGGAATGGAACCGAATGGAATGGAATCGAATGGAATGGAACTGAATGGAATCGAAAGGAATAGAATGGAATGGAGTGCAATGTAAAGAAATCAAATGGAATGGAATGGACTCGAATGGAATGGAATGGAATGGACAGGAAAGGAATGGACTGGAGTGGAAAGGACTTGAAGGGAATGGTCTGGAGAGGAACAGACACGAATGGAATGGAAACAAATGGAATGGAATAGAATGGAATGGAATGGAAAGGAATAGCCTGGAATAAAATGGGATGGAACGGATTTGAATGGAATGGAATGGAATGGAGTCAAATGGAATAGAATCGAATGGAATGGCGTCGAACGAAATGGAATGGAATGGACTCGAATGGAATGGACTAGAGTGGAATAGAATAGAATGGAATGCAATCAAATTGAATGGAATGGAATGGACTGGAATGGAATGGAATGGAATGGACCCAAAGGTAATGGACTCGAATGGAATGGACTCAAATAGAATGAACTCGAAAGGAATAGTCTCGAATGGAATTTATTCGAATAGAATTGAATCGAATGGAATGAAATAGTATGGAGTGGAATAGAATTGTATGGACCAGAATAGAATGGACTGGAATAGATTGGACTTGGATCTAATGGATTGCAATGTGATTGATTCGAATGGAATGGAATCAAATGGAAAGTAATCAAATGGAATGGAATGGAATGCAAAGGAATGGAATAGAATGGAATGCAATGGAATGGAACAGAACGGAGTGGAATCGAGTGGAATGGAATCGAATTGAATGGAATCGAATGGAATGGACGTGAATGGAATCGACATGGGACAAAAAGGAATCGAACGGATTGGAATCGAATTGGAATGAATGAAATTGAATGGAATGGACCTGAATGGAATGGAGTCAAATGGAATGGGATCTAATGGAATGGAATCAAATGGAATGGAATTGAATGGAATGGAATTGAAAGGAATGGAGTATAATGGAAAGTTATCGAATGGAATTTAATGGAATGGACTCGAATGGAATGGACTGGAATGGAATGGACTAGAATGGAATGGAATGGAGTGGAATGGACTCGAATGAAATGGACTCGAGTGGAATGGACTCGAATGGAATGGAAACGACTTGAATGGAATGGAAAATAATATAATGCAATGGAATCGGATGGAACGGAATGGAATGTTACAGAGTTGAAAGAAATAGAGTCGAATGGAATGGCATCAAATGGAATGGAATGGAATGGAGTGGAATGGACTCGAATGGAATGGATTCGAATGGGATAGAATAGATTGGAATGCCATTGAATGGATTGGAATGGAATGGAATGGACCCAAATGTAATGGACTCAAATGGAATGGACTCAAATAGAATGGACTTGAAAGGAATGGGCTCGAATGGAATTCTTTCGAACAGAATCGAATCGAATGGAATGCAGCAGTATTGAATGGAATCGAATGGAATGGGCTCGAATGGAATTCTTTCGAACAGAATCGAATCGAATGGAATGCAGCAGTATTGAATGGAATCGAATGGAATGGAATTGAATGGAATGGACCGGAATGGAATGGACTGGAATAGAACAGACTCGAATGTAATGGATTGTAATGTAATTGATTCGAATGGAAAGGAATCGAGGGGAATTTAATCCAATGGAATGGAATGGAAACCAATGGAATGCAATAGAATGCAATGCAATGGAATGGAATTGAGGGGAATCGCATGGAATGGAATCGAATGGAATGGAATTGAATTGAATGGAATAGAATGGAATGGACTCGAATGGAATGGACTCAAATGGAATGGACTGAAATAAAATGGATTGGAACGGATTGGAATCGAACGGAATGGAAAGGAGAGGAATGGATTGGAATGGACTCAAATGGAATGGAAAGGAATGGATTGGAATGGACTCAAATGGAATGGAGTCGAACAGAATGGAACTGAATAGAATGCTATCTAATGGAATGGAATGAATGGAATTGAAAGGAATACAATGGAATGGGGTGCAAAGGAAATTTAACGAATGGAATGGAATTGAATGGAATGGACAGGAATGGACTTGAATGGAATGGACTGGAGTGGAATGGACTTGAATGGAATGGGCTGGAGTGGAATGGACTCGAAGGAAATTGAAACGAATGGAATGGAATGGAAAGGAATAGACTGGAATGGAATGGGATGGAACGCAAAGGAATGGAATGGAATGGAGTCGAATGGAATAGAATCGAATGGAATGGCATCAAATGGAATGGAATGGAATGGACTCGAATAGAATGGAATCGAATGGAATAGAATCAAAATGAATGGCATCAAATGGAATGAAATTGAATGAAATGGAATGGAATGGACCCAAATGTAACGGAATCGCATAGAATGCACTCAAATAGAATGGACTCAAAAGGAATGGTCTTGAATGGAATTTATTAGAATAGAATGAAATCGAATGGAATCAAATAGTATTGAATGGAATCGAATGGAATGGAATCGAATTGAATGGACCGGAATGGAATGGACTGTAATAGACTGGACTCGAATGTAATGGACTGCAATGTGATTGATGTGAATGGAATGGAATCGAATGGAATGTAATCAAATGGAATGGAATGGAATCGAATGGAATGCCATGTAATGTAATGGAACGGAGTGGAATTGAGTGGAATGGAATTGAATGGAGTAGAAATGAATGGAATGGAATTGAATGCAATGGATTCGAATGGAATGGACTTGGTACAAAGTGGAATCGAAAGGATGGGAATCCAATGGAATGGAATGAAATGGTATGAAATGGAATAGACTCAAATGGAATGGAGTCGAATGGAATGGACTTGAATGTAATGGAGTTGAATGGAGTGGAATGGAATGGAATGGAATTCAGTGGAACAGAGCACGATGGAAAGATATCAAATGGAATGGAATGGAATGGACTCGAATGGAATGGACTGGAATGGAATGGACTAGAATGGAATGGACAGGAGTGGAATGGACTCGAGTGGAATGGACTCGTATGGAATGGAAACAAATGGAATGGAATGGAAAGAATTATAATGGAAGGGAATCGGATTGAACGGAATGGAATGTAATGGAGTCAAAAGGAATAGAATCGAATGGAATGGCATCAAATGGAATGGAATGGAATGGAGTGGAATGGATTCGAATGGAATAGAATAGAATGGAATTCCGTCGAATGGATTGGAATGGAATGAAATGGAATGGACCCAAATGTAATGGACTCAAACGGAATGCATTCAAATAGAATGGACTCGAATAGAATTCATTCAAATAGAATCATATTGAATGGAATGCAGTAGTATTGAATGGAATCAAATGGAATGGAGTTGAATGGAATGGACCAGAATCGAATGGAATGGAGTTGAATGGAATGGACTGGAATAGAGCGGACTCGAATGTAATGGATTGCAATGTAATTGATTCGAATGAAATGGAATGTAATACAATGGAATGGAATGGAAACCAATGGAATGCAATAGAATGCAATGCAATGGAATGGAATGGAGTGGAATCGGGTGGAATGGAATCGAATGGAATGGAATTGAATGGTATGGAATTGAATGGAATTGACTGGAATGGAATGGACTGGAACAAAATGGATTGGAAAGGATTGGAATCTAATGGAAAGGAATGGAGTGGAATGGACTGGAATGGACTCAAATGGAATGGAGTCGAATGGAATGGAACCGAATGGAATGCAATCGAATGGAATCGAAAGGAACAGAATGGAATGGAGTGCAATGGAAAGTTATCGAATGGAATGGAATTGAATGGAATGGACTCAAATGGAATGGACTGGAGTGGAATGGAATTGATTAGAATGGGTTGGACTGGAATGGATTCGAATTTAATGGAATGGAAAGAAATAGACTGGAATGGAATGGGATGGAACGGAATGGAATGGAAGGGAATGGAATGGAATGGAGTCAAATGGAATAGAATCGAGTGGAATGGCATCAAATGGAATGGAATGCAATGGATTCGAAAGGAATGGACTCGAATGGAATAGAATCGAAAGGAATGGCATCGAATGGAATGTTATTGAATGAAATGGAATGGAATGGACCCAAATGTAATGGACTCGAATGGAATGGACTCAAAGAGAATGGACTCGAAAGGAATGGTCTCGAATGGAATTTATTCGAATCGAATGGAATGAAATAGTATGGAATGGAATGGAATGGAATGGAATGGAATGGAATGGAATAGAAAGGACTCGAATGTAATGGAATGCAATGTGATTGATTCGAATGTAATGGAATCGAATCGAATGTAATCAAATGGAATGGAATGGAAGGAAAAAGAATGGAATAGAATGGAATGCAATGTAATGGAATGGAACGGAGTGGAATTGAGTGGAATGGAAAAGAATGGAATGGAATCGAATGGAATGGATTCGAATGTAATGGACTTGGGACAAAATGGAATCAAATGGATTGGAATCGAACGGAACGGAATGAAATGGTTTGGAATGGAATGGACTCGAATGGAATGGAGTCGAATGGAATGGACTGGAGTGGAAAGGACTCAAATGTAATGTAAACGAATGGAATGGAAAGGAATAGAATGGAATGGAATCGGATGGAATGGAATGGAATGGAATGGAATGGAATGGAATGGAATGGAGTAGAATGGAAAAGAGTCGAATGGAATGGCTTCGAATGGAATGGAATGGAATGTACTCAAATGGAATGGACTCGAATGGAATAGAATCAAATGGAATGGTATCAAATGGAATGGAATGGAATGGAATCGAATGGAGTGGATGCAAATGTAATGGACTTGAATGGAATGGACTCAAATAGAATAGAATCGAAAGGAATGGTCTCGAATGGAATTAATTCAAATAAAATGGAATCGAATGGAATGCAATAGTATGGAATGGATTCGAATGGAATGGAATCGAAAGGAATGGACCAGAATGGAATGGAATAGAATAGAACAGACTCGAATGGAATGGATTGCAAAGTAATTGATTCGAATGTAATAGAATTGAATTGAATGTATTCAAATGGAACAGAATGGAATGCAATGGAATGGAATAGAATGGAATGCAAAGGAATGGAATGGAGTGGAATCGAGTAGAATGGAATCGAATGGATTGGAATTGAATTGAATGGACTGGAATGGAATAGACTCGAATGGACTAGACTGGAACAAAATTGAATCGAACAGATTGGAATCGAAAGGAAAGGAATGGAATGGAATAGAATCGAATAGAATGGAGTCGAATGGAATGAAATTGAATTCAATGAAGTCGAATGAAATGGAATTGAATGGAATCCAAAGGAATAGAATAGAATGGAGTCTAATGGAAAGATATTGAATATAATGGAAAAGAGTGGATGCGAATAGAATGGACTGGAATGGAATGGACTCGAATGGAATGGACTGGAGTGGAATGGACTCAAATGGAACGGAAACAAATGGAATGGAAAGGAATGGAATGGAATGGAGTAGAATGGAAAAGAATCGAATGGAATGGCATAGAATGGAATGGAATGGAATGGGCTCGAATGGAATGGAACCGAATGGAAAAGAATACAATGGAATGGCATCGAATTGAATGGAAAGGAATGGATTGGAATGGAATGGAATGGTCCCAAAGGTAATGGGCTCGAACGGAATGGACTCAAATATAATGGACTCAAAAGGAATGGTCTCAAATGGAATTTATTCGAATAGAATTGAATCGAATGGAATGCAACAGTATGCAATGGAATCGAATGAAATGGAATCGAACGGAATGGACAAGAACAGCATGGACTGGAATAGAACGGACTCGAATGTAATGGATTGCAATGTAATTGATTTGAATGGAATGGAATCGAATGGAATGTAATCAAATGGAATGGAATGGAATGCAATGGAAAGGAATAGAATGGAATGCAATGGAATGAAATGGAGTGGAATCGAGTGGAATGGAATCGAATGGAATGGAATTAAATCAAATGGAATCGAATGGTATGGACCTGAATGGAATGGACTCGAAAGGAATGGACTGGAACAAAATGGAATCGAACGAATTGGAGTCTAATGGAACGGAAAGGAATGGAATGGAATTGAATGGAATGGAATGGAATTTAATGAAATGGAATGGAATGGACTCAAAACGAAAGTAGTTGAATGGAATGGAATCGAATGAAATGGAATCAAATGGAATGGAATTGAATGGAATGGAGTGTAATGGAAAGATATAGAATGGAATGGAATGGAATGGAATGGAATTGAATAGAATGCACTGGAATGGAATGGACACGAATGGAATGGACTGGAATGAAATAGACTCGAATGTAATTGACTGCAGTGGAATAGACTCAAATGGAATGGAAACGAATGGAATGGAAGGGAATAGAATGGGAAAGAACAGAATTTAATGGAATCGGAATGGAATGGAATCGGAAGAAATGGAATGTAAAGTAGACGAATGGAATAGAATCGAATGGAATGGCATCGAATGGAATGGAATGGAATGGATTCGAATGGAATGGACTCGAATGGAGCAGAATCGAATGGAATGACATCGAATGGAACGCAAAGGAATGGAATGGACCCAAATGTAATGGACTCTAATGGAATGGATTCAAATAGAATGGACTTGGAAGGAACGGTCTCGAATGGAATTTATTCGAATAGAATGGAATCGAATGGAATGCCATAGTATGGAATGGAATCAAATAGTATGTAATCGAATTTAATGGACTGGAATGGAATACGCTGGAATAGAATGCACTCGAATGTAATGGATTGCTATGTAATTGATTCGAATGGATTGGAATCAATTGGAATGTAATCAAGTGGAATGGAATGGAATGCAATGGAATGGAATAGAACGGAATTCAATGGAAAGGAAAGGAGTGGAATCAAGTGGAATGGAATCAAATGGAATGGAATTGAATGGGATGGAATCGAATGGAATTTACTGGAATGGAATGGACTCGAATGGAATGAACTGGAACAAAATGGGACCAAAGGGATTGGAATCGAATGGAAAGGAAAGGAATGGCATGGAATGGACTTGAATGGAATGCATTCGAATGGAATGGAACCGAATGGAATGGAGTCGAATGGGATTGAACCGAATGGAATGGAATTGAATGGAATTGAAATGAATGGAATCGAAAGGAAGAGAATGGAATGGAGTGTAATGGAATATCAAACGGAATGGAATTGAATGAACTCGAATGGATTGGACTGGAATGGAATGGACTCGAATGGAATGGACTGGAGTGGAATGGATTAAATGGAATGGAAAAGAAAGGAATGCAATGGAATGGAAAGTAAAGGAATGGAATGGAATGGAGTGGAATGGAAGAGAATCGAATGGAACGGCTTTGAATGCAATGGAGTGGAATGGAATGAAATGGAATGGACTCGAATGGAATGGACAGTAATGAAATAGAATAGAATGGAATGACATCGAATGGAATGGAATGGAATGGAATGGACCCAAATGCAATGGACTCGAATGGATTGGAATCAAACAAAATGGACTCGAAAGGAAAGGTCTCGAATGGAATATATTTGAATAGAATGGATTCGAACGAAATACAATAGTATGGAGTGGCATTGAATGGAATGGAATTGAATGGAATGGACCGGAATGGAGTGGACTGGAATAGAATGAACTCGAATGTAATGGATTGCAATGTATTTGATTCAAATGGAATGGAATCGAATGGAATGTAATCAAATGGAATAGAATGGAATGCAATAGAATGGAATAGAATGGAATGCAATGGAATGTAACAGAGTGGAATCAATTGGAATGGAATAAAATGAAATGGAATCGAATGGAATGGAATCAAATGGAATGGATAGGAATGGAATGGACTCGAATAGAATGTATTGGCACAAAATGGAATCGAAGGGATTGGAATCGAATGGAACAGAATGGAATGGAGTGGACAGTAGTGGCATCGACTGGAATGGAGTCGAATGGAATGGCATCAAACGGAGTGGACTGGAATGGAATGGAATGGAATGGACGCGAATGGAATGGAATCAAATAGAATATAATCGAATGTAATGGAATCGAGTGGAATGGAATGGAATGGTATGGAATGGAATGGACCCAAGTGTAATGGACTCGAATGGAATGGACTCAAAGAGAATGGACTCGTATGGAATGGTCTCGAATGGAATATAATCAAATAGAATGTAATCGAATGGAATGTAGTAGTATGGAACGGAATCAAATGGAATGGACCAGAATGGAATGGACTCGAATAGAACGGACTCCAATGTAATGGAATGCAATGTAATTGATACGAATGGAATGAAATATAATGGAATGTAATCAAATGGAATGGAATGGAATGCAATGGAATGGAATAGAATGGAATGCAATGGAATGGACCGGAGTGGAATCGAGTAGAATGGAATCGAATGGAATGGAATTAAAGGGAATGGAATGGAATGGATTGCAATGGACTCGAATGGAATGGAGAAGAATGGAATGGAATCTAATGGAATGGATTGGAATGGAATGGAATTGAATGGAATCAAAAGGAATAGAATGGAATGGAGTGTAATGGAAAGCTATCAAATGGAATGGAATGGAATGGAATGGAATCAAATGGAATGGATTCGAATGGAATGGACTGGAGTGGAATAGACTCGAATGGAATGGAGTCGAATGGAATGGAATCGATTGCAATGGAATCGAATGGAATGGAATTGAATGGAATCTAAAGGAATAGAATGGAATGGAGTGTAATGGGAAAATATCGAATGGAATGGAATGGACTCGAAAGGAATGGACTGGAATGGAATGGACTCGAATGGAATGGACTGGAGTGGAATGGACTCAAATACAATGGAAGCAAATGGAATGGAATGGAATGGAAAGGAATAGAATGAAATGGAATAGGTTGGAACGGAATGGAATAGAATGGAGTCAAATGAAATAGAATCGATTGGAAGGTCATCAACTGGACTGGAATGGAATGAACTCGAATAGAATTGACTGGAAAAAAATGGAATCGAACGGATTGGAATCGAAGGGAAAGGAATGGAATGGAATGGACCCAAATGTAATGGACTCGAATGGAATGGACCCAAATAGAATGGACTCGAAAGGAATGGTTATGAATGGAATTTATTCAAACAGAATGGAATCGAATGGAATGCAAAAGCATAGAATGGAATTGAATGGAATGGACGGGAATGGAATGGACTCGACTGGAATGGACTCCAAAGGAATGGAAACTGATGGAATGGAACGGAATGGAATTTAATGGAAAGAAATAGAATGGAATAGAATCGAATGGAACTGAATGGAATGGAATGGAGTCGAATGGAATAGAATTGAATGGAATGGCATTGAATGGTATGGAATGGAATGGAATGGAATGGACTCGAACGGAATGGACTGGAACAAAATGGAATCGAATGGAATGGAATGGGATTGAATGGAATGGAATGGAATGGAATGGAATACAATGGAGTCCAATGGAATGGATTTGAATGGAATGAAATTGAATGGAATCGAAATGAATAGAATGGAATTGGGTGTAATGAAAAGAAGTCAAATGGAATGGAATGCAATGGAATTGATTCGAATGGAATTGACTGGAATGGAATGGAATGAAATGAAATGGAAAGGAATAGAATGGAAACAAATCAGATGGAACGGAATGGATTGGAATGGAGTCAAATGGAATAGAATCGATTGGAATGTCATCGAATGGAATGGAAAGGAATGGACCTGAATGGAATGGACTCGAATAGAATGGAAATGAATGGAATGGAATCAATGGAAGTGAATGGAATGGAATGGAATGGAATGGAACAGAAAGGAATAGAATGAGATGGAATCTGTTGGAACAGAATGGAATCGAATGGAGTAGAATGAAATAGAATCGATTGGAAGGTCATCGAATGGACTGGAATGTAATGAACTCGAATAGAATTGACTGAGAAAAAATGGAATCGAACGGATTGGAATTGAAGGGAACGGAATGGAATGGAATGGACCTAAATATAATGGACTCGAATGGAATGGACCCAAATAGAATGGACTCAAAGGAATGGTTTCAAATGGAATTTCTTCGAACAGATTGGAATTGAATGGAATACCAAAGTATAGAATGGAATTGAATAGAATGGACGGGAATGGAATGGACTCGATTGGAATGGACTGGAGTGAAATGGACTCCAAAGGAATGGAAACTAATGGAATGAAATGGAATGGAATTTAATGGAAAGAAATAGAATGGAATGGAATCAGATGGAACTGAATGGAATGGAATGGAGTCGAATGGAATAGAATCGAATGGAATGGCATTGAATGGTATGGAATGGAATGGAATGGATTCAAACGGAATGGACTGGAACAAAACGGAATTGAACGGATTGGAATCGAATGGAATGGAATGGGATTGAATGGAATGGAATGGACTGGAGTGGAATGGAGTCCAATAGAATGGAACCAAATGGAATGGATTCGAATGGAATGGAATTGAATGGAATCGAAAGCAATAGAATGGAATTGGGTGTGATGGAAAGATGTTGAATGGAATGGAATGCAATGGAATTGACTCGAATGGAATGGACTGGACTGCAATGGAATGGAATGAAAAGAAATGGAAAGGAATAGAATGAAAAGGAATCGGATGGAACGGAATGGAATGGAATGGAATGGAATGGAGTCAAATGGAATAGAATCGATTGTAATGGCATCGAATGGAATGGAAAGGAATGGACCTGAATGGAATGGACTCGAATAGAATGGAAATGAATGGAATGGAATCAATGGAATGGAAAGTAGAATGGAATGGAATTGGATGGAACGAAATGTAATGGAATAGAGAAGAACGGCATAGAATCTAACGGAATGGCATTGAATGAAATGGAATGGAATCAAATGGAATGGAATGTAATGTACCCAAATATAATGGACTCGAATGGAATGGACTTAAATAGATTGGACACGAAAGGAATGGTCTCGAATGGAATTTGTTCGAATAGGATGGAATCGAATGGAAGCCAATAGTATGGAATGGAATCGAATGGAATAGAATCGAATGGAATGGACAGGAATGAAGTGGACTGGAATAGAAAGGACGCGAATGTATTGTATTGCAATGTAATTGATTTGAATGGAATGGAATCAAAAAGAAGTTTATCAAATTGAATGGAATGGTAAGCAATGGAATGGAATATAATGATATGCAATGGAAAGGAACAGAGTGGAATCAAGTGGAATGGAATTGAATGGAATGGAATGGAATGGAATGCAATCGAATGGAATGGAATGGAGTGGAATGGACTGCAATGGAATGGACTGGAAAAAATTGGATTCAAATGGATTGGAATCGAATGAAATGTAAAGAGATGGACTGGAATGGAATGGACTTGAATCGAATGAAGTCGAATGGAATGAACTGGAATGGAAGGGAATGGAATGGAATGGAATCAAAAGGAATACAATGGAATTGGGTGTAATGGAAAGATGGCGAATGGAATGGAATAAAATGGAAGGTACTTGAATGGAATGGAAACGAATGGAATGGAATGGAATGGAATGGAATAGAATGGAACGCAATCGGATGGAATGGAATGGAATCGAATGGAGTCAAATGGAATAGAATGGAATTAAATGGCATCGAATGGATTGGAATGGAATGCAATGGAATGGAATGGACATGAATGGAATGGATTCGAATGGTATAGAATCATTTGGAATGGCATCGAATGGAATGGAATGGAATGGAATAGAATGGAATAAAATGACATTAAATTGATTGGAATGGAATGCAATGGAATGTAACTGACACGAATGGAATGGACTCAAATGGAATAGAATGATTTGGAATGGCATCAAATGGAATGGAATGGTATGGAATGGAATTGAATGGACCCAAATGTAATGGACTCGAATGGAATGGACTCCAATAGAAAGGACAAGGAATGGTCTTTTCTGTTCCTTCTCGAATGCAATTTATTCGAATGGAATGGATGAGAATGGAATGCAACAGTATGGAATGGAATCGCATCAAATGGAATTGAGTGAAATGCAATGGAATGGAATTGAATGGAATAGAACGGACTCGAATGTAATGGATTGTAATGTAATTGATTCGAATGGAGTGGAATCGAATGGAATATAACCAAATGGAATGGAATGGAATGCAATGGAATGGAATAGAGTGGAATGAAATGGAATGGAACAGAGTGGAAGAGAGTGGAATGGAACCGAATGGAATGCAATTGAATAGAATGGACTGGAATAGAATGGATTGGAACAAAATGGAATCGAATGGAATGGAATGGAACAGAATGGAATGCACCCCAATGTAATGGACTCGAATGGAATGGAATCAAATACAATGGACTCGAAAGGAATGGTCTCGAATGGAATTTATTCGCATAGAATGGAATCGAATGGAATGCAATAGTGTGCAATGAAATCGAATGGAATGGACCGGAATGGAATGGAGTTGAATACAACGGATTCGAATGTAATGCATGACAATATAATTGATTTAAATGCAATGGAATCGAATGGAATGTAATCAACTGGAATGCAAAGGAATGCAGTTGAATGGAATAGAATGTAATGCAATGGAATGGAAGGGAGTGGAATCGTGTGGAATGGAATCAAATAGAATGGAATCGAATTTAATGGAACCGAATGGAATGGACTCGAATGAAATGGAATTGAACGGAATGGAATGGAATGGAATGGACACTAATGGAATGGGTTCGAAAGGAATGGAACCGACTGGAATGGAATTGAATGGAATCGAAAGGAATAGAATGGAGTGGCGTGTAATGCAAAGATATCAAATGGAATGGAAAGGAATGAATGGAATGGGCTCGAATGGAATGGACTGGAAAGGAATAGACTCGACTGGAATGGACTGGAGTGGAATGGACTTGAATGGAATGGAAACGAATGGAATGGAAAGGAATAGAATGGAAAAGAATAGAATGGGATGGAAATGGATGGAAGGAAATGGAATGGAATGGAGTCGAATGGAATAGAATGGAATGGAATGGAATGGCATCGAATGGAATGGAGTGGAATGGAATGGAATGGACACAAATGGAATAGAACAGAATAGAATGGCATGGAATGGAATGGATTGGATTGAATCGAATGGACCCAAATGTAATGGACTCGAATGGAATGGACTCAAATAGAATGGACTCAAAACGAATGGTCTCAAATGGAATTTATTCGAATAAAATGGAATCGAATGCAATGTGATAGAATGGAATGGAATCGAATGGATTGGATTGGAATGAAATGGACTGGAATATAATGTACTCGAATGTAATCAATTGCAATGTAAAAGATTTGAATGGAATGGAATCGAATGGAATGTATTAAAATGGAATGTAATGGAATGCAATGGAATGTAATAAAATGGAATGCAATGGAGTGGAACGGAGTGGAATCGAGTGGAATGGAATCGAATGAAATGGAATTGAATGCAATGGAATCGAATGGAATGGAGTGGAATGGAATGGACTGGAATGGAATGGACTCGAATGGAATGGACAGGAACAAAATGGAATGGAATGGATTGGAATCGAACGGAATAGAATGGAATGGAATGGAATGGACTCGAAAGGAATGGAGTCGAATGGAATGGAATTGAATGGAATTGAAAGGAATAGAATGGAAAGGAGTGTAATGGAAACATATCGAATGGAAATGGAATGTAATGGATTCGAATGGAATGGACTCGAATGGAATGGACTGGAGTGCAACGGACTAGAATGGAATGGAAACAAATGGAATGGAATGGAAAGGATTAGAATGGAATGGAATCGGATGGAATGGAATGGAATGGAGTCGAATAGAATTGAGTCGAATGGAATGGCAATGAATGGAATGGAATGGAATGGACTCCAATGGAATGTACTCGAATTTAATAGAATCGAATGGAATGGCATTGAAAGGAATGGAATAGAATGAAATGCAATGGACTCTAATGTAATAGACTGGAATCGAACGGACTCAAATAAAATGGAATCGAAAGGAACGGTCTTGAATGAAATTTATTTGAATAGAATGGAATGGAATGGAATGCAATAGTATGGAATGGAATCGAATAGAATGAAACAGAATGGAATAGACTGGAATAGAACGGACTCGAATATAATGTATTGTAATGTAATTGATTTGAGTGGAATGGATTCAAATGGAATGTAATCAAATGGAATGAAACGGAATGCAATGGAATGGAATAGAATGGAATGCAATGGAATGGAACGGAATGGAATCGATTGGAATGGAATCGAATGTAATGGAATGGAATGGACTCTAATGGAATGGACTGTAACAAAATGGAATCGAAAGGGTTGGAATCAAATGGAATGGAATGGAGTGGAAAGGAATGCAATGCAATGGACTCGAATGGAAAGGAGTCAAATCGTATGGAATTGAATGGAATGGAATCAAACGGAATGGAATTGAGTGGTATCAAAAGGAATAGAATGGAATGGAGTGTATTGGAAAGATATCGAATGGAATAGAATGGACTCGAATGGAATGGACTGCAATGGAATGAACTCGAATGTAATGGACTGGAGTGGAATGGACTCGAATGGAATCGAAACGAATGGAATGGAATGGAAGGGAAAGGAATATAATGGATTGGAATCGGGTGGAATGGAATGGAATTGAATGAAGTCAAATGGAATAGAATCGAATGGAATGGCCTTAAATGGAATGGGATGGAAGGGACTCGAATGGAATGGACTCGAATAGAATGGACACGAAAGGTATGACCTCTAATGGAATTTATTCGAATAGAAAGGAATCGAATGGAATGCAATAGTATGGATTGGAATCGAATGGAATCGACCGGAATGGAATGGACTGGATTAGAACGGACTCGAATGTAATCGAATGCAAAGTAATTGATTCGAATGGAATGGAATTAAAAGGAAAGTAATCAAATGGAATGGAAAGGAATGAAATGGAATGGAATAGAATGGAATGCAATGGACTGGAATGCAGTGTAATTGAGTGGAAGTGAATCGAATCGAATGGAATCGAACTGAAAGGAATGGAATGGAATGGTATGGAATGGTATAGACTCGCATGGAATGCACTGGAGTAGAATGGAGTCGAATGGAATCGAAACAAATGGAATGGAAAGGAATAGTTTGGAATGGAATCAGATGGAACCGAATGGAATGGAATGCAGTTGAATGGAGTAGAACCGAATGGAATGGCATTGAATGGAATGGAATGGCATAGACCCAAATGAAATGAACTCGAATGGAATGGACTCAAATAGAATGGACGCCAAAGAAATGGTCTCGAATGGAATTTATTGAAATAGAATGGAATCGAATGGAATGCAAAAGAATGGAATGGAATCGAATACAATGGATGAGAATGGAATGGATGAGAATGGAATGGACTGGAATAGAATGGACTCGAATGAAATGGATTGCAATGTAATTGATTCGAATGGAATGGAATCGA
>NC_000017.11:26805775-26820065 GCF_000001405.40 Homo sapiens
TGGTATGGAATGGACTCGAATGGAATGGAGTCGAATGGAATAGAATTGAATAGAATGGAAATCAATGGAATCGATGGGAATATAATGGAATGGAGTGTAATGCAAATATATGGAATGGAATGGAATGGAATGGACTCGAAAGGAGTGGAATGGAATGGAATGGACTCGAATGGAATAAACTGGAGTGGAATGGACTCCAAAGGAATGGAAACGAATGGAATGGAATGGAAAGATTGGAATGGAATGGAAAGCAATAGAATGGAATGGAAACGGATGGAACGAAATGGAATGGAAAGGAGTCGAATGGAATAGAATCGAATGGAATGGCATCGAATGGAATGGAATGGAATGGAATGGAATGGAATGGACTCGAATGGAATGGAAACGAATGGAATGGAATGCAATGGAATGGAATAGAATGGAATGGAATCGGACGGAATGGAATGGAATGGAATGGAGTGGAATGGAATAGAATCGAATGGAATGGCATCGAATGGAATGGAATGAAATGGAATGGAATGGAATGGACTCGAAAGAAATGAAAACGAATGGAAATGGAATGGAATTCAATGGAATAGAATGGAATGGAATCGGATGGAATGGAAAGGAATGGAATGGAGTCGAATGGAATAGAATCAAATGGAATGTCATCGAATGGAATGGAATGGAAAGGAATGGACTCGAATGGAATGGAGTCAAATGGAATAGAATAGAATGGAATGGCATCGAATGGAATGGAATGGAATTGAATGGAATGGACCCAAATGCAATGAACTTGAATGGAATGGACTCAAATAGAATGGAATCGAAAGGAATGGTCTCCAATGGAATTTATTCGAATAGAGTGGATTCGAATGGAATGCAATAGTATGGAATAAAATCTAATTGAATGCACCGGATTGGAATGACTGGAATAGAAAAGACTCGAATGTAATGGATTGCAATGTAACTCATTTGAATGGAAGGAATAGAATGGTATGTAATCAAAGGGAATCCAAAGGAATGCAATGGAATGCAATGGAATTTAATGGAATGTAATAGAATGGACTGCAATGGAATGGAACAGAATGGAATGCAATAGAATGGAATGTAGTGCAATCGAGTGCAATGGAATCGAATGGAATGGAATCAAATGGAATGGAATCGAATGGAATGGAGTGGAATGGAATGGAATCAAATGGAATGAACTGGAACAAAATGGAATCGAACATATTGGAATAGAATGGAACGGAATAAAATGGAATGGAACGGACACGAATGGAATGGAATCGAATGGAATGGAATTGAATGGAATGGAATCAAATGGAATGGAATTAAATGGAATCAAAAAGAATTGAGTGGAATGGAATGGAATGGAAACATATCGAATGGAATGGAATGGAATGGAGTCTAATGGAATGGATTGTAAAGGAATGGACTTGAAGGGAATGGAATGGAATGGAGTCAAAAGGAATGGACTGGAGTGGAATGGACTCGAATGGAATTGAAACGAATGGAATGGAATGGAAAGGAATAGAATGGATTGGAATCGGTTGGGACGCAATGGAAAGGACTGGAGTTAAATGGAACAGAGTTGAATAGAATGACATTGAATGGAATGGAATGGATTCGAATGGAATGGACTCGAATGAATAGAAGTCAAATGGAATGGCATCAAATGGAATGGAATGGAAGGGAAAGGAATGGACACAAATGTAATGGACTTGAATGTAATGGACTCAAATACAGTGGACTCGAAATGAATGGTCTCGAATGGAATTTATTCGAATAGAATTGAATCGAATCAAATGCAATAGTATGGAATGGAATCGAATGGAATGGAATCGAAAGGAATGGAGTGGAATGGAATGCACTGGAATAGAACAGACTCGAATGTAATGGATTGCAATGTAATTGATTCAAATGGAATGGAATTGAATGGAATGTAATCAAATGGAATGGAATGGAATGCAATGGAATTGAATAGAATGCAATGCACTTGAATGGAAAGGAGTGGAATTGGGTGGCTTGGAACTGAATGGAATGGAATTGAATGGAATGGACAGGAATGGAATGGACTCGAATGGAATGGAATGGAACAAAATGTAATGGAACAGATTGGAATCGCAAGGAAAGGAATGGAATGGAATGGAATTGACTCGAATAGAATGGAGTCGAATGGAATAGAATCGAATGGAATGGAATCAAATGCAATGGAAATGATTGGAATTGAAAGGAATACAATGGAATGGAGTGTAATGGAAAGATATCGAATGGAATGGAATGGAATGGACTAAAATGGAATGGACTAAAATGGAATGGACTCGAATGGAATGGACTGCAGTGGAATGGACTCGAATCAATGGAAACGAATGGAATGGAATGGAATGGAATGGAATCGGATGGAAAGGAATGGAATTGAATGGAATGCAGTCAAATGGAATAGAACTGAATGCAATGGCATCGAATGGAATGGAATGGTCTGGAATGGAATCTACTCGAATGGAATGGACTAAAATGGAATGGAATCAAATGGAATGGACTGGATTGGAATGGAATTGAAAGTAATGCAATGGAATGGAATGGAATGCAATGGAATGGAATGGAATGGAACAGAATGGAATGGAATCGGATTGAATGGAATGGAAGGGAATGGAGTTGAATGGAATAGAATCAAATGGAATGGCATCGAATGGAATTGAATTGAATGTAAATGAATGGATTGGACTCAAATGGAATGGCATTGAATGGAATGGAATGGAATGGACCGAAATGTAATGGACTCGAACGGAATGGACTCAAATAGAAAGGACTAGAAAGCAATGGTCTCAAGTAGAATTAATTCGAATAGAATGGAATCGAATGGAATGCAATAATATGGAATGGCATCGAAGGTAATGGACTGCAATGGAATGGACTGGAAGAGAACGGACTCGAATATAATGGATTGCAATGTAATTGATTCGAATGGAATGGAATCGAGTGGAATGTAATCAAATGGAATTGAATGGAATGCAATGGAATTGAAGAGGTTGGAATGCAGTGGAATGGAACGGAGTGGAATCGAGTGGAATGGAATAGAAAGGAATGGTATCGAATGGAATGGAATCAAATGGAATGGACTGGAATGGAATGGACAGGAATGAAATGGAATGGAATGGAATGGACTAGAATTGAATGGAGTCAAATGGAATGGAATCGAATGGAATGGAATTGAATGGAATCGAAAGGAATAGAATTGAGTGGAGTGAAATGGAATGATATCGAATGGAATCTAAAGGAATGGACTTGAATGGAATGGATTGCAATGGAATGGACTTCAATGGAATGGACAGGAGTAGTACAGACTCGAATAGAATGGAAACGAATGGAAAGAATGGAAAGGAATGGAATAAAATGGAATGGAATCGGATGGAACGGAATGTAATGGAGTCAAATGGAATAGAATCGAATGGAAAAGCATCGAATGGAATGGAATGGAATGCAATGGAATGGATTCAAATGTAATGGACTCGAATGGAATGGATTCAAATAGAATGGAATCGAAAGGAATGGTCTCAAAGGGAATTTATTAGAATAGAATATAATCGAATGGAATAAAATAGTGTGGAATGGAATCAAATGGAATGGAATCAAATGGAATGCAACGGAATGGAATGGACTGGAATAGAACTCATTCGAATGTAGTGGACTGCAATGTAATTGTTTAGAATGGAATGGAATCGAATGGAATGTAATCAAATGGAATGGAATGGAATGCAATCGAATGGAATTGAATGGAATACAATGGAATGGAATGGAGTGGAATTGAGTGGAATGGAATCGAGTGGAATGGAATCGAATGGAATGGAATTGAATAGAATGGAATCGAGTGGAATGGAATTGAATGGAATAGAGTCGAAAGGAATGGTCTCTAATGGAATTTATTCAAATAGAATGGAATCTAAGGGAATGCAAATGTATGGAATGGAATCGAATGGAATGGACGGGAATGAAATGGACTGGAATAGAATGAACTCGAATGTAATGGATTGCAAAACAATTGATTCGAATGGAATGCAATTGAATGGAATGTAATCTAATGGAATGGAATGGAAAGCAAACGAATGGAATAGAATAGAATTCAATGGAAAAGAAAGTAGTGGAATCGAGTGCAATGGAATTGAATAGAATGGAATCAAATGGAATGGAATCGAATGGTATGGAATTAAATGGAATCGAATGGAATAGAATGGAATTGTGTGTAACGGAAAGATAACGAATGGAATGGAATGGAATAGAATGGAATTGTGTGTAACGGAAAGATATCGAATGGAATGGAATGGAATGGACACGAATAGAATGGACTGGAACAAAATGGAATAGAACGGATTGGAGTTGAACAGAATGGAATGGAATGGAATGGTAAGGAATGGAGTCGAATGGAATGGAGTTGAATGGAATGGAATTGAATAGACTGGAATTCAATGGAATTGAAGGGAATATAATTGAATGGAGTGTAATGGAATGATATCAAATGGAATGGAATGGAAAGGACACGAATGGAATGGACTGGAATGGAATGGACATGAATGGAATAGACTGGAGTGGAATGGAATCAAATGTATTGGAAACAAATGGAATGGAATGGAATGGAATGGAAAGGGATTGAATGGAATGCAATTGGATGAAATGGAATGGAGTTGAATGGGATAGAATCGAATGGAATGGCATCAAATGGAATGGAAAGGAATTTATTCAAATAGAATTGAATCGAATGCAATGCAGTTGTAAGAATGGAATCTAATGGAATGGAATCGAATGGAATTAACTGGAATGGAATTGACTGGAATAGAACGGACTCGAATGTAATGGATTGCCATGTAATTGATTCGAATGGAATGGAGTCGAATGGAAAGTAATCAAATGGAATGGAATGGAATGGAATGGAAAGAAGTGGAATCTACTGGAATGAAATTGAATGGAATGGACTCGAATGGAATGGACTGGAATGGAATGGACTCGAATGGAATGGAATGGAATGGAATGTATTCGAATGGAATGGACTGGAACAAAATAAAATCAAACTGATTCAAATCGAACGGAACGGAACGGAATGGAATGGAATGGACTCGAATGGAATGGATTCGAATAGAATGGAAACGAATGGAATGGAATTGAATGGAATGGAATTGAATAGAATTGAAAGGATTACAATGGACTGGAGTGTAATGGAAACATATCGAATGGAATGGAATGGACTCGAATTGAAAGGAATTGAATGAATGTGAATGGAATGGAAACGAACGTTACGGAATGGAATGGAAAGGAAAGGAAAGGAGTAGAAGGGTATGGAATCGGATGGAAAGAAACGGAATGGAATGGAGTCGAATGGAATAAAATCGAATGCAATGGCATCGAATGGAATGGAATGGAATGGAATGGACTTGAAAGGAATGGACACGAATGGAATACAATAGAAAGGAATGGAATGGAATGCAACCAAATGTAATGGACTCGAATGGAATGGACTCAAATAGAATTCATTTTGAAAGGAATGGTCACGAATGGAATTTATTCGAATAGAATGGAATCGAAAGGAATGCAATAATATGGAATGGAATCAAAGGGATCTAAATCGAATGGAATGGACCGGAATGGAATGGATTGGAATAGAACATACTCGAAAGTAATGGAATGCAATGTAATGGAATCGAATGGAATGGAATCAAATGGAATGTAATCAAATGGAATGAAATGGAATGCAACGGAATGGAATAGAATGGAATGCAATGGAATGAAATGGAGTGGAATCGAGTGGAATGGAAGTGAATGGAAAGGAATGGAATAGAATGGAATCGATTGGAATGGACTGGAAGGGAATAGACTGGAATGGAATGGACTGGAACAATATGGAATCAAATGGATTGGAATCGAAAGGACAGAGATGGAATAGAGTGGTATGGAATGGACTTGAATGGAATGGAGTCGAATGGAATGGATTCAAATGGAATGGCATCGAATGGAATGGAATGGAATGGACTCGAATGGACTGGAAACGAACGGAATGGAATGTAATGGAATGGAATAGAATGGAATGGAATGAAATAGAATGGAATGGAGTCGAATGGAAAGACATGGAATGGAATGGTATGGAATGGACTCGAATGGAATGGAGTCGAATGGAATAGAATTGAATAGAATGGAAATCAATGGAATCGATGGGAATATAATGGAATGGAGTGTAATGCAAATATATGGAATGGAATGGAATGGAATGGACTCGAAAGGAGTGGAATGGAATGGAATGGACTCGAATGGAATAAACTGGAGTGGAATGGACTCCAAAGGAATGGAAACGAATGGAATGGAATGGAAAGATTGGAATGGAATGGAAAGCAATAGAATGGAATGGAAACGGATGGAACGAAATGGAATGGAAAGGAGTCGAATGGAATAGAATCGAATGGAATGGCATCGAATGGAATGGAATGGAATGGAATGGAATGGACTCGAAAGAAATGAAAACGAATGGAAATGGAATGGAATTCAATGGAATAGAATGGAATGGAATCGGATGGAATGGAAAGGAATGGAATGGAGTCGAATGGAATAGAATCAAATGGAATGTCATCGAATGGAATGGAATGGAAAGGAATGGACTCGAATGGAATGGAGTCAAATGGAATAGAATAGAATGGAATGGCATCGAATGGAATGGAATGGAATTGAATGGAATGGACCCAAATGCAATGAACTTGAATGGAATGGACTCAAATAGAATGGAATCGAAAGGAATGGTCTCCAATGGAATTTATTCGAATAGAGTGGATTCGAATGGAATGCAATAGTATGGAATAAAATCTAATTGAATGCACCGGATTGGAATGACTGGAATAGAAAAGACTCGAATGTAATGGATTGCAATGTAACTCATTTGAATGGAAGGGAATAGAATGGTATGTAATCAAAGGGAATCCAAAGGAATGCAATGGAATGCAATGGAATTTAATGGAATGTAATAGAATGGACTGCAATGGAATGGAACAGAATGGAATGCAATAGAATGGAATGTAGTGGAATCGAGTGCAATGGAATCGAATGGAATGGAATCAAATGGAATGGAATCGAATGGAATGGACTGGAATGGAATGGAATCGAATGGAATGGACTGGAAAAAATTTTATCGAACGGATGGGAATCGAACGTAACGGAATGGAATGGAATGGCATGGACTCTAATGGAATGGAGTCGAATGGAATGGAATCAAATGGAATAGAATCGAATGGAATGGAATTGATTGGAATAGAATGGAATGGACCCAAACATAATGGACTCATAGGGAATGGACTCAAATAGAATGGACTCGAAAGGAAGGGTCTCGAATGGAATTTATTCGCATAGAATGGTATCGAATGGAATGCAACAGTATGCAATGGAATCGAATGGAATGGAATCAAATGGAATGGAGCGGAATGGAATGGACTGGAATAGAACCAACTCGAATGTAATTCATTGCAAAGTAATTGATTCAAATGGAATGGAAATGAATGGAATGTAATCTAATGGAATGGAATGCAATGCAATGGCATGGAATAGAATGGAATGCAATGGCATGAAATATAATGGAATGCAATGGTATGGAATGGAGTGGAATCGAGTGGAATGGAATCGAATGGAAAGGAATTGAATTTAATGGAATCGAATGGAATGTACTGGAATGGAATGGACTCAAATGGAATGGACTGGAACAAAATGGATTCGAACGGATTGGAATTGAATGGAATGGAATGGAATAGAATGGATTGGAATGGAATGGAATGGACTCGAATGGAATGGAGTCGAATGGAATGTAACCGAATGGAATGGAATTGAATGGAATAGAATTTAATGGAGTGTAACGGGTAGATATTGAATGGATTGGAATTGAATAGAGTGGACTCGAATGGAATGGACTGGAATGGAATGGAATGGAATAGAATGGAATGTACTGGAGTAGAATGGACTCGAATACAATGGAAATGAATGGAATGCAATTGAACGGAATGGAAAGGAATAGAATGGAATGGAATTGGATGGAACGGAATGGAATGCAATGGAGTCGAATGGAATAGAATCAAATGCAATGGCATGGAAAGGAAAGGAAAGTAATGGAATGGAAGTGAATGGACTTGAATTCAATGGACTCGAGTGGAATACGATAGTATGGAATTCAATGGAGTCGAATGGAATAGAATCAAATGCAATGGCATGGAAAGGAAAGGAAAGTAATGGAATGGAAGCGAATGGACTTGAATTCAATGGACTTGAGTGGAATACGATAGTATGGAATGGCATAGAATGGAATGGAAATGAATGGAATGGCATGGACCAAAATGTAATGGACTCGAATAGAATGGAATCAAATAGAATGGATTCGAAAATAATGGTCTCAAATGGAATTTATATGAAAAGAATGGAATAGAATGGAATGCAATAGTATGGAATGGAATTGAAAGGAATGGAATCCATTGGAATGAAATGGAATGGAATGGACTGAAATAGAACAGACTCGAATGTTATGGATTGCAATGTAATTGATTCAAATGGAATGGAAACTAATGGAATGTAATCAAATGGAATGCAATCGAAAGCAATGGCATGGAAGAGAATGGAATGCAATGGAATGGAACAGAGTGTAATCGAGAGGAATGGAATCGAATGGAAAGGAATCGAATGGAATGGAATCAAATGGAATGTACTGGAATGGAATGGACTGAAATGGAATGGACTCGAATGGAATAGACTCATAGAATGGAATGGAAACGAATGGAATAGAATGGAATGGAAAGGAATATAATGGAATCGAATTGGATGGAATGGAATGGAATTGAATGGAATTGAAGGGAATAGCATCCACAGGAATGGCATCGAATGGAATGAAATGCAATGGAATGGAATGGAATCGAATAGAACAGAGACGATTCAAATAGAATTGAATAGAATGGCATCAAATCGAATGGAATGGAGTGGAATGGAATGGAATGGAATGGAATGGAATGGAATGGAATGGAGGCCCATGTAATGGACTCGAATGGAATAGACTCGAATGGAATGGACTCAAATGGAAAGGATTCCAAAGCAATAACCTCAAATGAAATTTATTTGAAAAGAATGGAATCGAATGGACTGGAATAGTATGGAATGGAATGGAATTTAATGGAATGGAATGGACTGGACCGCAATGGAATGGACTGCAATAGAACGGACTCGAATGTAATGAATTGCAATATAACTGATTCGAATGGAATGGAATGGAATGGAATGGAATGGAATGGAATGGAATGGAATGCAATGGAATGGAATAGAAAGGAATGTAGTGGAATGGAATGTAGTGGAATCGATTGGAATGGAATCGAATGGAATGGAATCGAATGGAATGGAATCGAATGGAATGGACTAGAATGTAAAGGACTGGAATAAAATGTAATCAAATGGATTGCAATCAAACGGAACAGATTAGATGTAATGCAATATAATGGACTCGAATGCAATGGAGTCGAATGGAATGGAAACGAATGGAGTGGAATCGAATGGAATGGAATTGAATGGAATCTATAGGAATAGAATGGCGTGGAGTGTAATGGAAAGATATCAAATGGTATGGAATGGAATCCAATGGACTCGATAGGAATGGAATGGAATGGAAAGAACTGAAGTGGAATGGACTGGAGTGGAATGGACACGAATGTAATGGAAACAAACGGAATGGAATGGAAAGGAATAGAATGAAATGGAATCGGATGGATTGGAATGAAATGGAATGGAGACAATGGAATAGCGTCGAATGGAATGGTATCGAATGGAATGGCATAGAATGAAATGGAATGGACACGAATGGAATGGACTCTAATGGAATAGAATCGAATGGAATGGCATCGAATGGAATAGAAAGGAATGGAATGGGATGGACCCAAATGTAATGGACTCAAATGTAATGGATTCAAATAGAATGGACTCGAAAGGAATGGTCTCAAATGTAACTGAATTGAATGGAATCAAAAGGAGTGCAATGGTAGGGAATGGAATTGAATGGAATGGAATCGAATGGAATTGACTAGAATGGAATGGACTGGAATAGAATGGACATCAATGTAATGGATTGAAATGTAATTGATTCGAATGCCTTGGAATCGAATGGAATGTAATCAAATGGAATGGAATGGAATGGAATGGGATGCAATGGAATGGAACGGAGTGGAATCGAGTGGAATGGAATTGAATGGAATGGAATCGAACAGAATGGACTCGAATGGAATCAAATCAAATGGAATGGACTGGAACAAAATGTAATCGAACGGATTGGAATTGAATGGATCGCAATGGAATGGAATGGAATGCACCTGAATGGAATGGAGTCGAATGGAATGGACTGGAACAAAATGGAATTGAATGGATAGGAATAGAATGGAACGGAATGGAAAGGAATGGAATGGAACGGAATGGAATGGAACAGAATGGAATTCACACGAACGGAATGGAGTTGAAAGGAATGGAATCGAATGGAATGGAATCAAATTGAATGGAATTGAATGGAATCGAAAGGAATACAATGGAATGGAGTGTAATGGAAAGATATCAAATGGAATGGAATGGAAGGGAATGGACTCGAATAGAATGGACTGGAATGGAATGGACTCGAATGGAATGGACTGTAGAAGAATGGACTCGAATGGAACGGAAATGAATGGAATGGGATGGAAAGCAATCGGTTGGAACAGAATGGAATAGAATGGAGTCGAATGGGATAGAATCAAATTGAATGGCTTCAAATGGAATGGAATGGAATCAAATCGAATGGAATAGAATGAAATGGACTCAAATGGAATGTACTCGAATGGAATAGAATCGAATGGAATGGCATCGAATGGAATGGAATGGAATGGAAAGGAATAGAAAGGAATGGAATGGAATCAAACTGATTGGAATTGAATGGAATAGAAAGGAATAGAATGGAATGGAATGTAATGGAAAGATGTCAAATGGAATGGTAAGGAATGGAATGGACTCGAATGGAATGGACTAGAATAGAATGGAATCGAATGGAATGAAATGGAGTGGAATGGACTTGAAAGGAATGGAAATGAATGGAATGGAATAGAATGGAATGGAATGGAAAGGAATATAATAGAATGGAATCAGATGGAATGGAATGGAAAGGAATGGAGTCAAATGGAATAGAATCGAATGGGATGGCATCAAATGGAATGGAACGGAATGGGATGGACTCGAATGGAATAGAATAGAATGGAATGGCATCGAATGGATTGGAATGGAATGGACTCGAATGGAATGCAATCGAACGGAATGTAATCAAATGGAATGGAATGCAATGCAATGGAATGGAAGAGAATGCAATGCAATGGAATGGAATGCAGTGGAATGGAGTGGAATAGAATCGAATGGAACGGAATCCAATGTAATGGAATCGAATGGAATGGACTGTAATGGAATGGACTTGAATGGAATTGACTCGAATGGAATGGACTGGAACAAACTGGAATCAAACGGCTTGGAATCGAACGGAACGATAGGAACGGAATGGAATGGAATGGATTCGAATGGAATAGAGTCAAATGGAATGGCATCGAATGGAATGGAATAGAATGGATTGGAATGGACTCGAATGGAATGAAATAGAATGGAGTAGATTCGAATGGATTGGCATCAAATAGAATGGAATGGAATGGAATGGAATGGACTCCAATGGAATGGACTCAAAAGGAATAGAATAGAGTGGAATGCCATCGAATGGAATGGAACGGACCCAAAGGAAATGTATTCGAATGGAATGGACTCAAATAGAATGGAATCGAAAGGAATGGAATCGAATGGAATTTATTCAAATAGAATGGAATCGAATGGAATGCAATAATATGGAATGGAATTGAAAGGAATGGAATCGAATGGAATTCATTCGCATAGAATCGAATTGAATGGAATGCAATAACATGGAATGGAATTGAAAGGAATGGAATCGAATGGAATGGACCGGAATGGAATGGACTGGAATAGAATGGACACAAATGTAATGGATTGCAAAGTAATAGACTTGAATGGAATGGAATCGAATGGAATGTAATCAAATGGAATTTAATGGCATGCAATGGAATGGAATAGAATAGAATGCAATGGAAGGGAACGGAGTGGAATCGAGTGGAATGGAATCGAATGGAATGGAAAAGAATGGAATGAAATAGAATGGAATGGACTGGAATGGAATGGAATCGAATGCAATGGAGTGGAACAAAATGGAATCGAACGGATTGGTATCGAACAGAACGGAATGAAATGGAATAGAATGGACTCAAATGGAATGGAGTTGAATGGAAAGGAACCGAATGGATTGTAATCGAATGGAATGGAATTGAACGGAATCAAAAGGAATAGAATGGAATGGAGTGTAATGGAAAGATATCAAATGGAATGTAATGGAATGGAATTGAATGGACAGAACTTGAATGGAATGATCTCAAATGGAATGGAATGGAGTGGAATGGACACGAATGGAATGGAAACGAATGGTAGGGAATGGAATGGAAAGGAATAGAATGGAATGGAATTGGATGTAACGGAATGGAATGGAATGGATTCGAATGGAATAGAATCAAATGGAATGTCATCAAATAGAATGGAGTTGAATGCAATGGAATGGACTTGAAGAATGGAATCGAATGGAATAGAATCCAATGGAATGGCATCGAATCGAATGGAAAGTAATGGAATGGAATGGACCCAAATATAATGGACTCGAATGGAATGGACTCAAATAGAATGGACTTGAAAGGAATGGTCTCGAATGGAGTTTACTCGAATAGAATGAAATCCAAAGGAATGCAATAGTATGGAATGGAATCGAATGGAATGTACTGGAAAGGAATGGACTGGAATAGAATGGAATCGAATGTACTGGATTGAAATGTAATTGATTCCAATGCCTTTGAATCAAATGGACAGTAACCAAATGGAATGGAATGAAATGCAATGGAATGGAATAGAATGGAAGACAATGGAATTGAACAAAGTGGAATCGAGTGGAATGGAATTGAATGGAATGGAATGGAATGGAATCAACTGGAATGGAATGGACTCGAATTGAATGGACTGGAACAAAAGGGAATCGAATGGATCAGAATCAAACCGAATGGAATGGAATGGAACGGAATGGAATGGACTCGAATGGAATGGAGTTGAATGGAATGGAACGGAATGGAAAGGAATCGAATGGAATGTAATTGAATAGAATAGAAAGGAATAGAATGGAATGGAGAGTAATAGAAATATAAAGAATGGAAAGAAATGGAAAGGAATGGACACGAATGGAATTAACTGAAATGGAATGGACTTGAATGGAAAGGACTGGAGTGGAATGGACTCGAATGGAATGGAAACTTATGAAATGGAATGGAATACGATAGAATGGAATTGGATGGAATGGAATTAAATTGAATGGAATCGAATGGAATAGAAAAGAATGGAATGGCATCGAATGGAGTGGAAAGGAATGGACTCGAATGGAGTAGAATCGAATGGAATTAAATGGAATGGAATGGAATGAAATGGAAGTTACCAAAATGTAATAGACTCTAATGGAATGGACACAGAATGGACCCAAAAGTAAGGGTATCAAATGGAATTTATTCGAATAGAATGAAATTGAATCAAATGCAATAGTATGGAATGGAATTGGATGGATTGGAATCAAGTGCAGTGGACCAGAATGGAATGGACTGGAATACAGCTGACTGGAATGTAATGGATTGCAATGTACTTGATTCGAAAGGAATGGAATTGAATGGAATGTAATCAAATGGAATGCAATGGAATGGAATGGGAAGGAACAGAAAGCAATGCAATGGAATGGAATGGCTTGGAATCGAGTGGAAAGGAATTGAATGGAATGGAATCGAATGGAATGGATTGGAATGGAATGGACTCGAATGGAATGGACTGGAAAAAAATGGAAACGAACGGATTGGAATCAAATGTAACAAAATGGAATGGAATGGAAAGGAATGGACGTGAATGGAATGGAGTCGAACGTAATGGAACCGAATGGAATGGAATTGAATGGAATTGAAAGGAATAGAATAGAATGGAGTGTAATGGAAAGATATTGAATGGAATGGAAAGGAATGGAATCAACTCGAATGGAATGGACTGGAACGAAATGGAATCGAATGGAATGGACTGGAGTGGAATGGACTCGAATGGAATAGAAACGAATGGAATGGAATGGAAAGGAACAGAATGGAATGGAATCAGATGGAACGGAATGGAATGAAATGGAGTC
>NC_000017.11:26820266-26859724 GCF_000001405.40 Homo sapiens
ATGGATGGAATGGAATGGAATGGAATGGAATGGAATGGACTCGAATGGAATGGACAGGTAATCGAATGGACTGGAGAGGAATGGACTCGAATGGAATGGACTGGAATGGAACGGACTTGAGTGAAATGGAAACGAATGGAAAGAATTGAATGGAAAGGAATGGAAAGGAATAGAATGGAAGGAATCAGATGGAACTGAATGGAATGGAATGGAGTCAAATGAAATAGAATAGAATGGAATGGAATGGAATGGACTCGAATGGAATGTACTCGAAAGGAATAGAATAGAATGGATTGGCATCGAATGGAATGGAATGGAATGAATTGCAATGGAATGGAATGGACCCAAATGGAATGGACACGAATGGAATGGACTCAAATAAAATGGACTCAAAAGGAATGGTCTCGAATAGAATTTATTCAAATAG
This sequence comes from Homo sapiens, assembly GCF_000001405.40. Classification (NCBI taxonomy): domain Eukaryota; kingdom Metazoa; phylum Chordata; class Mammalia; order Primates; family Hominidae; genus Homo; species Homo sapiens. The sequence continues at coordinate 26,820,694 of NC_000017.11, forward strand.
AATGGAATCGCATGGAATGAGAAAGTGTGGAATGCAATGCGAAAATGTGGAATGGAATCGAATGGAATGGAATCAAACGGAATGGACAGGAATGGAAAGGACTGAAACAGAACAGACTCGAATATGATGGATTGCAATGTAATTGATTTGAATGGAATGGAATCAAATGGAATGGAATCAAATGGAATGGAATGGAATGCAAAGGAATGTAATTGAATGGAATGCAATGGAATGGAACTGAGTGGAATCGAGAGGAATGGAATTGAACGGAATGGAATCGAATGGAATGGAGTCGCATTGAATGGACTGGAATGGAATGGACTCAAATGGAACGGACTGAAACAAAATGGAATCGAATGGAAAGGAATCGAATGAAATGGAATGGTATGGAAATGAATGGAATGGAATGGAATGGAATGCAAAGGAACAGAATGGAATGGAATCGTGTGGAATGGAATGGAATGGAATGCAGTTGAATGGAATAGATTCGAATGGAATGGCAACGAATGGAATGGAATGGAATCGAATGGAATGCACTTGAAAGGAATAGAATAGAATGGAATGGCACCGAATGGAATGGAATGGACTGGACGGAAATGTAATGGACTCGAAAGGAATGGACTCAAAAACAATGGACTTGAAAGGAATGGTCTCGAGTGGTATTTATTCGAATAGAATGGAATCGAAACGAATGCAATAGAATGGAATATAATGGAATGGAATAGAATCCAATAGTACTGACTTGAATGGAATCGACTGAAATAGAATGCACTCGAATGTAATGGATTGCAATGTAATTGATTAGAATGGAATGGAAATGAATGGAATGTAATCAAATGGAATGGAGTGGAATGCAATGGAATGGAATAGAATGGAATATAATGAAATGGAATGGAGTGGAATCAAGTGGAATGGGATTGAAAGGAATGTAATCGAATGGAATTGAATGAAATGGAATGGACTGGAATGGAATGGACTCGAAGGGAATGGAGTCGCATGGGATGGTATCGAATGGAATGGGATCGAATGGAATGGAATTGAATATAATTGAAATGAATAGAATGGAATGGAGTGTAATGGAATGATATCGAATGGAATGGAAGGGAACGGACTCGAATTTAATGCACTGGAATGGAATGGACTCGAATGGAATGGAAACGAATGGAATGGTATGGAATGGAAGGGACTGGAAAGGAATAGGACGGAATGGAATCGGATGGAATGGAATGGAATGATGTCGAATGGATTAGAATTGAATGGAAAGTCATTGAATGGAATGGAATGGAATGGAGTGGAATGGAAAGGAATGGAATGGAGTGGAAAGCAATCCAATGGAATGGAATGGAATGGATTAGAATGGAATGGAGTAAAATTCACCCAAATGTAATGGGCTCAAATGGAATGGATTCAAATAGAGTAGACTCGAAAGGAATGGCCTCGAATGGAATTTATTTGAATAGAATGGAATCGAGTGGAAAGCAATAGTATGAAATAAAATTGAAAGGAAAGGAATTGGATGGAATGGACTTGAATGGAATGGACTTGAAATGAACGGACTGAAATGTAATGTATTGCAATGTAATTGGTTCGAATGGAATGGAGTTGAGCGGAATGTAATCAAATGGAATGGAATGGAATTCAACTGAATGGAATAGAATGGAATGCAATGGAATGGAACAGAGTGGAAGAGAGTGGAATGGAATCATATGGAATGGAATTGAAAGGAATGGAAACGAATGGAATGGAATGCACTCGAATGGAATGCAGTGGAACAAAATGGAATCAAACGGATTGGAATCGAATGGAACAGAGTGGAATGGAATGGAGTCAAAAGGAATGGAGTCGAATGGAATGAAACCGAATGGAATGGAATTGAATGGAATCAAACGGAATAGAATGGAATGGAGTGTAATGGAAAGACATCGTAAGGAATGGAATGAAATGGCTCAAATGGAATGGACTGGAATGGAATGGGCTCAAATAGAATGCACTGGAGTGGAATGAACTCGAATGGAATGGAAACGAATGTATTGGAATGGGATGGAATGCAATAGAATGGAATGGAATCGGAAGGAGCGGAATGGAATGAAATGGAGTCGAATGGAATAGAATCGAATGGAATGTCATCAAATGGAAGGGAATGGAATGGAATGGAATCGACTCGTATGGAATAGAATAGGATTGAATGGCATCGAACAGAATGGAACGGAATGGAATGGACCCTTTGGGGTCCATTTGGATTCAAATGGAATGGACTCAAACAGAATGGACTTGAAAGAATGTTCTCGAAAGGAATTTATTCGAATAGAATGGAATAGAAAGGAATGCAATATTATGGAATGGAATCGAATGGAATGGAATCGAATGGAAAGGAACGGAATGGAATGGAATGGAATAGAATGGACTCGAATGTAATGCACTGGAAAGTAATTTATTTGAATGGAATGGATTCAAATGGAATGTAATCAAATGGAATGGAATGGAATGCAATAGAATGGAATAGAATGCAATTCAATGGAATGGAAGGGAGTGGAATTGACAGGAATGGAACCAAATGGAAAGGAATCGAATGGAATGGAATGGATTCGAATGGAATGGACCAGAACAAAATGGAATCGAAGAGACTGGGATCGAATGTAATGGAATGGAATGGAAGGGAATGGAATGGACTCGAAAGGTATGGATTCGAATGACATGGAAACGAATGGAATGGCATCGAATTGAATGGAATTTAATGGAATCGAAATGTATAGAATGGAATAGAGTGTAATGGTAGGGTATCGAATGGAATGGACTCGAATGGAATGGCCTGGAATGGAATGGAGTCGAATGGAATGGACTCGACTGGAATGGACTCGAATGGAATGGAAACGAATGGAATAGAACGGAATGGAATGGAAAGGAATAGAATGGAATGGTATCAGACAGAACGGAATGGAATGGAATGGAGTCAAATGCAATAGAATCAAATTGAATGGCATCGAATGGAATGGAATGGAATTGAAAGGACTCATATAGAGTGGACTCGAATGGAATAGAATCAAATGGAATGGCATCAAATGGAATGGAATGGAATGGACCCAAATGTAATAGACTCGAATGGAATGCCCTGAAATAGAATGGATTTGAAAGGAATGATCTTGAATGAAATTTATTCGAATAGAATGGAATCGAATGGAATGCAATAGTATGGAATGGAATCGAATAGAATGGAATCAAATGGAATGGATCGGAATGGAATGGACTGGAATACGACGGACTCGAATGTAATGGATTGCAATCTAATTGATTCAAATGGAATGGAATCGAATGTAATGGAATCAAATGGAATGGTATGGAATGCAATGGAATGGAATAGAATGGAATGCAATGGAATGGAATGGAGTAGAGTCAAGTGGAATGGAATCGAAAGGAATGGAATCGAATGGAATGGACTGGAATGGAATGGACTCGAATGGAATGGACTGGAACAAAATGGAAACGAACGGATTTGAATTGAAAGGAATGGAATGGACTCGACTGGAATGGAGTGGAATGGAATGGAATGGAATGGAATGGAATGGAATAGAATGGAATAGAATGCAATTGTACGGAATCGAAAGGAATAGAATGGAATGGAGTGTAATTGAAAGATGTTGAATGGAATGGAATGGAATGGAAAGGAATGGACTCGATGGAATGGAATGGAAAGGAATGGGCTCGAATAGAATGGACTGGAGTGGAATGGACTCGAATGGAATGGAAAAGAATGGAATGGAATGGAAAGGAAAGGAATAGAATGGAATGGAATCGGATGGAATGGAATGAAATGGAACCGCATCGAATGGAAAAGAATCGAATGGAATGGCGTCGAATGGAATGGAATGGAATGGAATGGAATGGAATGGACTCGAATGGAAAGGACTCAAATGCAATAGAATGAAATGCAATGGGAACGAATTGAATGTAATGTAATAGAACATACCCAAATGTAATGGACTCGAATGGAATGGTCTCAAATAGCATGGACTTGAAACTAATGGTTTCGAATGGAATTTATTCAAATAGAATGGGATCAAATGGAATGCAATAGTATGATATGGAATCGAATGGAATGGAATCGAATGGATTGGACCAGAATGGAATGGAATGGGACAGAATGGACAAGAATGTAATGGATTGCAATGTAACTGATTCAAATGGAATGGAATCCACTGGAATGTAAACAAATTGAATGGAACGGAATGCAATGGAAAGGAATAGAATGGAATGCAAAGGAATGGAACGGAGTGGAATCGAGTGGAATGGAATAGAATGAAATGGAATCAAATGGAATGGAATTGAATGGAATGGACTGGAATGGAATGGACTCTAATGGAGTGGAGAGGAACAAAATGAGAACAAACGGATTGGAATCGAGCGCAACAGAATGTAATGGAATGGAATGGGCTCGAATGGAATGGAGTCAAATGGAATGGAATTGAAGGGAATGGAATAGAATGGAATGGAATTGAATGGAATCAAAATGAATAGAAGGGAATGCAGTTTAATGTAAAGATATCGAATGGAATAGAATGGAAAGGACTCGGATGCAATGGACTGCAATGGAATGGACTCGAATGGAATGGACTGGAGAGGAATGGACACGAATGTAATGGAAACGAATGGAATGTAATGGAATGGAATGGAAAAGAATAGAATGGAATGGAATCGGATGGAATGGGATGGAACGGTATCGAATGGAATAGAATCAAATGGAAGGGCATCGAATGGAATGGAATGAAATGGAATGGAATGAAATGAAATGGACTTGAATGCAATGGACTCGAATGGAATAGAATCGAATGGAATGGCATCGAATGGAATGGAATGGAATGGAATGAAATGGAATGGAATGGAATGGAATGGAATGGACCCAAATGTAATAGACTCCAATGGAATGGACTCAAATAGAATGGACTTGAAAGGAAAGGTCACGAATGAAATTTATTCGAATAGAATTGAATTGAATGGAATGAAATAGTATGGAATGGAATCGAATGGAATTGACTGGAATGGAATGGACTGGAATAGAACGGACTCAAATGTAATGGATTGCAATGTATTTGTTTCGAATGGAATGGAATGGAATGGAATGTGATCAAATGGAATTGAATGGAATGCAATGGAACGGAATAGAATGGGACGCAATGTAATGGAACGGATTGATATCGGGTGGAATGGAATCAAATGGAATGGAATCAAATGGAATGGAATCGATTGGAATGGACTGAAATGGAATGGACTCGAATGGAATGGACTGAAACATAATGGAATTGAACGGATTGGAACCAAACGAAACGGAACGGAATGGAATGGAATGGCCTCGAATGGAATGGAGTCAAATGGAATGGAATCGAATGGAATGGAATGGAATGGAATGGAATGGAATGGAATGGAATCGTAAGGAATAGAATGGAATGGAGTGTAGTGGAAAGATTTTGAATGCAATGGAATGGAAGGGAATGGACTCGAATGGAATGGAATGGAATGGAATGGACTCGAATTGAATGGACTGGAGTGGAATGGGCTCAAATGGGATGGAAACAAATGGGATGGAACAGAATGGAATGGAATGGAATGAATGGAAAGGAATAGAATGGAATGGAATCGGATGGAACAGAATGGATGGGAGTGTAATGGAAAGATATCGAATGGAATGGAATGGAATGGACTCGAATGGAATGGATGGGAAAGGAATGGACTCAAATGGAATGGACTGGAGTGGAATGGTCTTGAATGGAATGGAATGCAATGGAATGGAAAGGAATAGAATGCAATGGAATGGGATGGAATGGAATGGAATGCAGTCTAAGAGAATAGAATTGAATGCAATGCCATCGAATGGAATGGAATGCAATGGACTAGAATGAAATGGACTCAAATGGAATAGAATAGAATGGAATGGCATGGAATGGAATGGAATAGAATGGAGTGCAATAAAATGGAACAGAGTGGAATCCAGTGGAATGGAATGGCATGGGATGGAATGGAATGGAATGGAATGGAACCAAATGGAATGGAGTCGAATAGAATGGAATGGAATTGAATAGAATGGAATTGAACACAATCAAAAGGAATAGAAAGAATGGAGGGTAATGGAAAGATATCGAATGGAATAGAATGGAAAGGAATGGACTGGAATGGAATGGACTTGAAAGGGATGGACTGGAGTTGAATGGACTCGAATGAAATGGAAAAGAATGGAATGGAATGGAATGGAACGATTAGAATGGAATGGAGTGGGATGGAATGGAATAGAATGGATTGAAATCGAATGGAATAGAATCGAGTGGAATGGCATCGAATGGAATGGAATGGACTCGAAAGGAGTGGAAAGTAATGGAATGGAATGGAATGGATTGGAAGAGAAAGGAATAGAAAGGAATGGAATTGGAAGGAACGGAATGGAATGGAATGGAGTCCATTGGAACAGAATGGAATGGAATAGCATCTAATGGAATGGAATGGAATGGAATGGAAAGGACTTGAATGGAATGGATTGGAGTCCATTGGAACAGAATGGAATGGAATAGCATCGAATGGAATGGAATGGAAGGGACTTGAATGGAATGGACTCGAATGGAAAAGAATAGAATGCAATGGCATCGAATGTAAACGGATGGAATGGAATGGACCCAAATGTAATAGACTCAAATGGAATGGACTCAAATACAATGGACTCGAAAGGAATGGTCTCGAATGCAATTTATGCGAATAGAATGGAATCGAATGGAGTGCAATAGTATGGAATGGGATCGAATGGAATGGAATCAAATGGAATGGAATGGAATGGATTAAATGCACTGGAATAGAAAGGACTCGAATGTAATGGATTGCAATGTAATTTATTTGAATGGAATTTAATGGAATGGAATGTAACCAAATGGATTGGAATCGAATGCAATGGAATGGCATTGAATGGAACGCACATGGAATGGAATGGAGTGGAATCGAGTTGAACGGAATGGAATGGAATGGACTCGCCTGGAATGGACTGGAATAGAATGGACTCGAATGGAATGTACTGGAAAAAATGGAATTGAACGGATTACAATGGAATGGAATGGAATGGAATGGAATGGAATGGAATGGAATGGACTGGACTCAAAAGGAATGGAGTCGAATGGAATGTAATCAATGGAATGAAATGGAATGGAATGGAACTGAATGGAATTGAAAGGAATAGAATGGAATGGAGGGTAATGGAAAGATATTGAATGGAATGGATTGGAATTGAATGGACTCAAAAGGAATGCGATGGAATGGAATGGAATGGAATAGAATGGAAGGGAATCGGACAGAACGGAATGGAATTGAATGGCATCAAATGGAATAGAATCGAATGGAATGGCTTCCAATGGAATGGAAAGGAATGGAATGGAATTGAAAGGAATAGAATGGAATGGAAACGGATGGAATGGAATGGAATGGAGTCGAATGGAATAGAATCGAATGGAATGGCATTGAATGGAATGGAATGGACTCGAATGGAATGGAAACGAATGGAATGGATTGGAATGCAAAGGAATAGAATAGAATGGAATCGGATGGAAAAGAATGGAATGGAATGGAGTCGATTGGAATAGAATAGAATGGAATGGCATCGAATAGAATGAAATGGAATGGAATGGAATGGAATGGAATGGAATGGAATGGAATGGATTGGAATGGAATGGAATTGAATGGAATGGAATCGAATGAAAAAGAATAGAATGTAATGGCATTGAATGGAATGGGATAGAATGGAATGGAATGGAGCCAAATGTAATGGACTCAAATGGAATGTACTCAAATAGAATGGACTCCGAAGGAATGGTATCAAATGGAATTTATTTGAATAGAATGGAATCGAGTGGAATGCAATTGTATGGAATGGAATTGAATGGAATGCAATTGTATGGAATAGAATCGAATGTAATGGAATTGAATGGAATGGAGTGGAATGGAATGGATTAGAATAGAATGGACTCCAATGTAATGCGTTGCAATGTAATTGATTTGAATGGAATGGAATCGAGTGAAATGTAATCAAATGGAATGGAATGGAATGCAGTGGAATGGAATGGAATGGAATGCAATGGAATAGAAAGGAGTGGAATCGAGTGGAATGGAATCGAAAGAAATGGAATTGAATAGAATGGACTGGAATAAAATGGATTCGAATGGAATGGCATGGAATCAAACGGATTGTAATTGAATAGAATGGAAGGGAATGGAATGGAATGGAATGGAGTCGAATGGAATGGAGTTGAATAGAATGTAATCGAATGGAATGGAAACGGATGGAATGGAATTGAATGGAATCGAAAGGAATAGAATGGAATGGAGTTTAATGGAAAGATATGGAATGGAATGGAATGGAATGGACTCGAATGGAATGGACTGGAATGGAATGGACTTGAATGGCATAGACTGGAGTGGAATGGACTCGAATAGAATGGAAATGAATTTAATGGAATGGAATGGAATGAATAGAATGGAATGGAATCGTATGGAATGGAATGGATTGGGTTGGAATCGAATGGATTAGAGTCGATTAGAATGACATCAAATGGAAAGGAATGGAATGGAATGGGCTCGAACGGAATGGACTTGAATGGAATAGAATTGAAAACAATGGCATCGAATGGAATGGAAAGGAATACAATGGAATGGAATGGAATCGACCAAAATGTAATGGACTCGAATGGAATGGACTCTAATATAATCGACTCAAAAGGAATGGTCTCGAATGGAATTTATTCAAATAGAATAGAATCAAATGGAATGTAATAGTGTGGAATGGAAGCGAATGAAATGGAATCAAATGGAATGGAACGGAATGAAATGGACTGGAATAGAATGGACTCGAATGTAATGGATTGCAATGTAATTGATTCAAATGGAATGGAATCGAAGGAATAGAATGGAATGGAGACTAATTGAAAGATATCAAATGGAATGGACTGGAATGGAATAGACTGGAATGGTATGGACTCTAATGGAATCGACTGGAGTGGAATGGACTCCAATGGAATGGAAACTAATGGAATGGAATTAAATGGACTCTAATGAAATAGAATCGAATGGAATGGCATTGAATGGAATGGAATGGACCAAAATGTAATGGACTCTAATGGAATGTACGCGAATAGAATGGACTCAAAAGGATTGGATTCGAATGGAAATTATTCTAATAGAATGGAATCAAATCAACTGCAATAGTATGGAATGGAATAGAATGGAATGAAATCAAATGGAATGGATCGGAATGGAATGGACTGGAATAGAACAGACTCGAATGTAATGGATTGCAATGTAACTGACTCAAATGGAATGGAATAGAATGGAATGTAATAAAATGGAATGGAATACAATGGAATGGAATAAGATGGAATGGAATGGAATCGAATGGAGTCGAATGGAATAGAGTGCAATGGAATGGAATGGACTCGAATGGAATGGCATCGAATGGAATGGTCTGGAATGAAATGGACTCGAATGGAATGGACTGGAGAGGAATAGACTCAAATGGAATGGAAACGAATGGAATGGAATGGAATGGAATGGAATGGAATGGAATGGAATGGAATGGAATCGGATGGAATGGAATGGAATGGAATGCAATCGAATGGAATAGGATCGAATGGAATGTCATCAAATGGACTGGAAGGAAAGGAATGGACTCGAATAGAATGGATTCGAATGGAATAGAATCGAAAGAATAGGCATGGAATGGAATGGAATGGAATGGAATGGAATGGAATGGAATGGAATGGCATGGAATGGAGTGGAATGTACCCAAATGTATTGGACTCAAATGTAATGGACCCAAATGGAATGGACTCTGAAGAAATGGTGTCGAATGGAACTTATTTGAATAGAATGGAATCGAATGGAATGCAATAGTATGGAAAGGAATCGAATGGAATGGAATCGAGTGGAATGGAACGGAATGGAATGGATTGGAATAAAACGCAATAGATTGTAACGGATTGCAATGATATTGATTCGAATGGAATGGAATCTAAAGGAATGGAATCGAATGGAATGGACCAGAATGGAATGGACTGGAATAGAACGGACTCGAATGAAATGGTTTGCAATGTAATTGATTCGAATGGAATGGAATTGAATGGAATGTATTCAAATGGAATGGAATGGAATGCAATGGAATGGAATAGAATGGAATGCAATGGAATGGAAAGGATTGGAATTGAGTGGAATGGAATCAAATTGAATGGAATCGAATGGAATGGACCAGAATGGAACGGACTCGAATGGAATGGACTAGGACAAAATGGAATGGAACGGATTGGAAACGAAAGGAACGGAATGGAATGGAATGAACTTGAATGGAATGGAGTCAAATGGAATGGAATCAAATGGAATGGAATTGATTGGAATAGAAATAAATAGAATGGAATGGAGCGAAAAGGAAATGTATGGAATGGAATGGAATGGAATGGAATGGAATGGAATGGAATGGACTCGAATGGAATAGACTAGAATGGAACAGACTCGAATGAAATGGACTGGAGAGGAATGGACACGAATGAATGGAAACGAATGGAATGGAATGGAATGGAAAGGAATAGAATGGAATGGAATTGGATGGAACGGAATGGGATGGAGTGGAATGGAGTCGAATGGAATACAATCAAATGGAATGACATCGAATGGAATGGTATGGAATGGAGTGGACTTGAATGGAATGGACTAGAATGGAATAGAATCAAATGCAATGGCATGGAATGGAATGGAATGGACCCAAATGTAGTGGACTCGAATGGAATGGACCCAAATAGAATGGACTCAAAAGGAATGGACTCGAATGGAATTTATTCGACTAGAATGGAATCGAATGGAATGCAGTAGTATGGAATGGAATCGAATGGAATGGACCGGAATGGAATGGACAGGAAAAGAAAGGACTCGAATGTAAAAGAATGCAATGTAATAGATTCGAATGGAATGAAATCGAATGGAGCGTAATCAAATGGAATGGTATGGAATGCAATGGAATGGAATAAAATGGAATGCAATGGAATGGAACGGAGTGGAATCGAGTGGAATGGAATGGATTGGAATGGAATTGAATGGAATGGATTCAAATGGAATGGACTGGAATGGAATGGACTCGAGTGGAATAGACTAGAATGGAATGGACTCGAATGGAATAGACAGGAATAAAATGGAATAGAACGGATTGTAATCGAATGGAATGAAATGGAATGGAATGGATAGGAATGGACTCGAATGCAATGGAGTCGAGTACAATGGAACCGAATGGAATGGAATCGAATGGAATGCAAGTGAATGGAATCAAAATGAATAGAATGGAATGGGGTGGAATAGAAACATATCGAATGGAATGCAAAGGAATGGAATGGACTCGAATGGAAGGGACAGGAATGGAATGGACTCGAATGGAATGGACTGGAGTCAAATGGACTCGAATGGAAAGGGAACGAATGGAATGTAATGGAATGGAAAGGAGTAGAATGGAATGGAATCAGATGGAAAAAATGGAATGGCATGGAGTCGATTGGAATTGAATCGAACGGAATGGCATCGAATGGAATGTAATCAAATGGAATGGAATGGACTCGAATGGAATGGACTCGAGTGGAATAGAATAGAATGGAATGGCATCGAATGGAATCGAATGGAATGGAATGCAATGGACCCAAATGCAATGGACTCGAATGAAATGGAATCAAATTGAATGGACTCGAAAGGAATGGTTTCAAACGGAAATATTCGTATAGAATGGAATCGAATGGAATGCAATATTATGGAATAGAATCGAATGTAATGTAATTGAATGGAATGTACCGGAATTGAATGGACTGGAATAAAATGGACTCGAATATAATGGATTACAAAGTAATTGATTCGAATGGAATGGAATCAAATGGAATATATTAAAATGGAACGGAATGGAATGCAATGGAATGGAATAGAATGCAATGCAATGGAAAGGAACGCAGTAGAATCGAGTGGAAGGGAATAGAATGGAATGGAATTGAATGCAATCGACTGGAATGGAAGGGACTCGAATGGAATGGATTGGAACAAAATGGAATCGAAGGATTGGAATCGAACGGAACGGAATGGAATGCCCTGGAATGGAATGGAATCTAAAGGAATGGAATCAGATGAAATGGAATTGAATGGACTTGAAAGGAATAGAATGGAATGGAGTGTAATGGAAAGATAGCAAATGAAATGGAATGGAAAGGAATGGACTCGAGTGGAATGGACTGGAATGGAATGGACTCGAATGGAATGGCCTGGAGTGGAATGCACTCGAATGGAACAGACAGGAGTGGAATGGACTCGAATGGAATAGAAACAAATGGAATGGAATGGAATGCAAAGGAATAGAAAGGAATGGAATCAGATTTAATGAAATGGAGTGGAATGGAGTCAAATGGAATAGAATTGAATGGAATGGCATCAAATGGAATGGAATGGAATGGAATGGAATGGAATGGAATGGAATGGAATGGAATGGAATGGAATGGATTCGAATGGAATGGACTCGAATGGAATAGAATCTAATGGAATGGCATCATATGGAATGGAATGGAATGGAGTGGAATGGAATGGAATGGAATGGAATAGATCCAAATGTAAAGGACTTGAATGGAATGGACTCAAGCAGAATGAAGAAGAAAGCAATGGTCTCGAATGGAATTTATTCAAATAGAATGGAATCAAATGGAATGCAATAGCATGGAATGGAATCGAATGGAATGGAATCAAATTGGATGGACCGGAATGGAGTGGACTGGAATAGAGCAGACTCAAATATTATTGATTGCAAAGTAATTGATTGGAATGGAATGGAATCGAATGGAATGTATTCAAATGGAAAGGAATGGTATGCAATGGAATGGAATAGAATGGAATGCAATGTATTTGAAAGGAGTGGAATCGAGTGGACTGGAATTGAATCAAATGGAATCAAATGGAATGGAATCGAATGGAATGGAATTGAATGCAATGGAATTGTACGGAATCTAAAGGAATAGAATGGAATTGACTGTAATGGAAAGATATAGAATGAAACGGAATGGAATGGAATGGACTCGAATGGAATGGACTGGAAATGAATGGACTCGAATGGAATGGAGTGGAGTGGAATGGACCCGAATGTAATGGAATCGAATGGAATGTAAAGGAATAGAATGGAATGGAATCTGATGGAACGGATGGAATGGAATGGAGTCGAATGGAATAGAGTCAAAAGGAAAGGCATCAAAGGAATGGAATGGAATGGCATCGAATGGAATGGAAACGAGTGGACACAAATGTAATGGACTCGAATGGAATGGACTCAAATAGAATGGACTCGAAAGGAATGGTAACGAATGGAATTTATTCAAATAGAATGTAATTGAAAGGAATTCAATAGTATAGAATGGAATGGAATCGAATGGAATGGACCGGAATGAAATGGACTGGAATAGAATGGACTCGAATGTAATCGACTGCAAAGTGATTGTTTTCAATGGAATGGAATCAAATGGAATGGAATCAAAAAGGAATGGAATGGAATGCAATGGAATGGAATAGATTGAAATACAAAACAATTGAATGGAGTGGAATCGAGTGGAATGGAATAGAATGGAATGGATTCGAATGCAATGGACTGGAATGGAATGGACTCGAATGGAATGGACTGGAACAAAATGGAATTGAAATGATTGGAATCGAATGGAACCGAATAGAATGGAATGGAATGGAATGGACACGAAGGGAATGGAGTCAAATGGAATGGAATCGAATGCATTGGAGTGGAATGGAATGGAATTGAATGGAATCAAAAGAAATAGAATAGAATGAAGTGTAATGGAAAGATATCGAATGGAATGGAATGAAATGGACTCAAATTTAATAGACTCGAATGTAATGGACCGGAGTGGAATGGACTCGAATGGAATGGAAACGAATGGAATGGAAAGGAATAGAATGGAATGGAATTGGATGGAACGGAATGGAATGGAATGGAGTCGATATAAACAGAATCTAGTGGAATGACCTCGAATGGAATGGAATGGAATTGAATGGAATGGACTCGAATGGAATAGAATCGAATGGTATGACATTGAATGGAATGGAATGGAATGGAATTTAATGGACCCAAAAGTAATGGACTCGAACGGAATGGACTCAAGTAGAATGGACTCGAAAGGAATGGTCTCGAATGGAATTTATTCAAATAGAATGGATTCGTGTGGTATGCAATAGCATGGAATGAAATCAAAAGGAATAGAAACGACTGGAATGTATAGGAAGGGAATGGACTAGAATACAACAGACTCGAATGTATTGGATTGCAATGTAATTGATATGAAAGGAATGGAAATGAATGGAATGTAATCAAATGGAATGGAAAGGTATGGAATGGACTGGAATGGAATGGACTCGCATGGAATGGACTGGAACAAAATGTAATCGAACAGATTGGAATCGAATGGAACAGAATGCAATGGAATGCAATGGAAGGCACTGGAATGGAATGGAGTTGAATGGAATGGAACCGAATGGAATGGAAACGAATGGAATGGAATTGAATGGAATGGAAAGGAATAGAATGGAATGGAGTACAAAAGAAAGATATTGAATGGAATGGAATGGAATGGAATGGAATGGAATGGAATGGACTCGAATGGAATAGACTGGAATGGAATGGACTCGAATGGAATGGACTGGAGTGGAATGGACTCTAATGGAACGAAAATGAATGGAATGGACTGGAATGGAAAGGAGTAGAATGGAATAGATTCGGATGGAATGAAATGGAATGGAATGGAGTCAAATGGAATACAAATGAAAGGAATGGCATTGAATGGATTGGAATGGAATGGAATGGAATGGAATCGAATGGAATGGACTCAAATGGAATATTATAGAATGGAATGGCATCGAATAGAATGGAATGCAATGTAATTGAATAGAAGGGAATAGACCCAAATGTAATGGACTCGAATGGAATGGACTCAAATACAATGGACTTGAAAGGAATGGTCTCATATGGAATTTATTCTAATAGAATGGAATCAAATGGAATGCAATAGTATTGAATGGAATTGAATGGAATGGAATCAAAAGGAATTGACCAGAATTGAATGGACTGGAATAGAACAGAGTCGAATGCAGTGGATTGCAATGTAATTGATTCGAATGGAATGGAATCGAATGGAATGTAATCAAATGGAATGGAAAGGAATGCAATGGAAAGGAATAGAATGGAATGCAATGGAATGGAACGGAGTGGAATCGAGTGGAATGGAATCGAATGGAATGGAATTGAATGGAATGGAATCGAATGGAATGGACTGGAATGGAATGCACTCAAATGGAATGGATTGGAATAAAATGGAATCGAACAGGTTGGAATCGAAAGGAACGCAATGGAATGGAATGGAATGGACTCGATTGGAATGCAGTCAAATGGAATGGAATCAAATGGAATGGAATCAAATAGAACGGAATTGAAAGGAATCGAAAGAATAGAACAAATTTTAGTGTAATGCAAAGATATTGAATGTAATGGAATGGAATGGAATGGACTCGAATGGAACAGACTAAAATGGAATGGACTCGAATGGTAGGGTCTGGAGTAGAATGGACTCGAATGGAATGGAAACGAATATAATGGAATGGAATGAAATGGAAAGGAATAGAATGAAATGTAATCGGATGGAATGGAGTCAAATTGAATGGACTTGAAGGAATAGAATAGAATGGAATGGCATTGAATGGATTGGAATGGATTGGAATGGCCTTGATAGGAATGGTCTAGAATGGAATAGAATGGAATGGAATGGACTCGCATGGAATGGACCCAAACGTAGTGGACTCGAATGGAATGGACTCAAATAGAATGGATTAAAAAGAAATGGTATCGAATGGAATTTATTCCAATGGAATGGAATCGAATGGAATACAATTGTATGGAATGGAATCGAATACAATGGAATCAAATGGAATGGACCGGAATGGAATGGACTGGAATAGAACAGACTCGAATGTAATGCATGGCAATGTAATTAATTTGAATGGAATCGAATGGAATGGAGTCAATTGGAATGGAATCTAAAGGAATGGAATCGAATGAAATAGAATTGAACGGAATCGAAAGTACTAGAATGGAATGGAGTGTAAAGGAAAGAAATCGAATGGAATGGAATGGAGTGGAATGGAATGGAATGGACACGAATGGAATGGACTGGAATGGAATGGACTTCAATGGAATTGGCTGTAGTGGAATTGACTCCAATAGAATGGACTGGACTGGAATGGACTCGTATGGAATGGAAATAAGTGGTATGGAATGGAATGGAATGGAATGGAATGGAATGGAATGCAACGGAAAGGAATAGAATGGAATGGAATCGGATGAAACAGATTGGAATGGAATGGAGTCGAATGGAATAGAATCGAAAGGAATGGCATCAGACGGATTGGAATGGAATGGAATGGAATGGACTCGAATGGAATGGACACGAATGGAATAGAATTGAATGGAATGACATCAAATGGAATGGAATGCAATGGAATGGGATGGAATGGAATGGAATGGAATGGAATGGAATGGAATGGAATGTACCCAAATGTAATGGACTCAAATGGAATGGATTCAAATAGAACGGAATCGAAAGAAAAGGTCTCGAAGGGAATTTAATCGAATAGAATGGAATCAAATGGAATGCAATAGTATGGAATGGAATCGAATGTAATGGAATCAAACGGAAAAGTCCAGAATGGAATGGACTGGAATAAAACGGACTCGAATGTAATGGATTGCAATCTAATTGATTCGAATGGAATGGAATCCAATGGAAAGGACCGGAATGGAATGGGATGGAATAGAACGGATTCGAATGTAATGGATTGCAATGTAATTGATTCGAATGGAATGGAATTGAATGGAATGTAAGAAAATGAAATATGAATGAATGAAATAGAATGGAATAGAATGGAATGCAACGGAATGGAATAGAATGCAACTGAGTGGAATGGAATAGAATGGAACTGAGTGGAATGGAATCAAATGCAATGGTCTGCAATGCAATGGACTCCAATGGAATGGACTGGAACAAAATGGAATGGAACGGATTGGAATCGAAAGGAACGGAATGGAATGGAATGGAATGGACTCGAATGGAATGGAGTCGAATGTAACGGAATCGAATGGAATTGAATCAAATGGTTTGGAATTGATTGGAATCGAAAGGAATATAATGGAAGGGAGTGTTATGGAAAGATAACAAATGGAATGGAATGGAATGGACTCGAATGGAATGGAATGGAAAGCAAAGGACTCAAATGGAATGGACTGGAGTAGAATGGACCCGAATGAATGGAAACGAATGGAATGGAATGGAAAGGAATAGAATGGAATGGAATCAGATGGAATGTAATGGAATAGAATGAAACGGAATGGCGTTGAATGGAATAGAATCGAATGGAATGGCATCGAGTGGAATGGAATGGAATGGAATGGAAAGGAGTGGACTCGAATGGAATGTATTCGTATTGCTTGGCATCGAATGGAAGGGAATGGAATGGAATAGAATAGAATAGAATAGAATAGAATGGAATGGAATGGAGTGGAATCTAGTGGAATACAATCAAACGGAACGGAATTGAATGCAACGGAATCGAATGGAATGGAGACGCATGGAATTGACTGGAACAAAACGGAATCGAACGGATTGGAATCAAACTGAACGGAAAGGAATGGAACGGAATGGAAAGGTCTCGAATGCAATGGATTCGTACTGAATGGAATCCAATGGAATGGACTGGAATGGAATGGACTCGAATGGAATGAACTGGAACAAAATGTAATTGAACGGATTGGAATCGAACAGAGCAGAATAGAATGGAATGGAATGGCATGGACTCGAATGGAATGGGGTCAAATAGAATGGAATCGAATGGAATGGAGTCGAATGGAATGGAGTCAAATAGAATGTAATCAAATGGAATGGACTCGAATGGAATAGATTTGAATGCAATGGAATTGAATCAAATGGAATGAAATGGCATGGAATGGAATGGACAAAAATGTAATGGACTGGAACGGAATGGACTCAAATAGAATGGACTTGAAAGGAATGTTCTCGAATGGAATTTATTCGAATAGAATCAAATCATATGGAATGCAATAGTATGGAATGGAATAGAATGGAATAGAATTGAATGGAATGGACAGGAATGGAATGGACTGGAATAGAATGGACTCGAGTGTAATGGATTGCAAAGTGATTTGAATGGAATGGAAACGAATGGAATGTAATCAAATGGAATCTAATGGTATCCAATGAAATGGAATTGAAAGGAATGCAATGGAATGGAACGGAGTGGAATCGAGTGGAATGGAAACGAATGGAATGGAATCGAATGGAATGGAATCGACTGGAATGGACTGGAATGGAATGGAATCAAATGGAATGCAGTCGAATGGAATGGAATCAAAATGAATGTAGTCGAATGGAAAGGAATCGAATGGAATGGAATTGAATAGAATCGAAAGGAATAGAATGGAATGGAGTGTCATGGAAAGATATCGAATGGACTGGAAAGGAATGGACTCGAATGGAATGGACTGGAATGGAATGGACTAGAGTGGAATAGACTGGAGTGGAATGGATTCGAATGGAATGGAAACGAATGGAATGGAATGGAAAGGAATAAAATGGAATGGAAACGGATGGAATGGAATGGAATGGATTGGAGTTGAATGGAATAGAATCGAATGGAGTGGCATCGAAGAGATTGGAATGGAATGGAATTGAATGGAATGGACTCGAATGGAATAGAATAGAAGGGAATGGCATCAAATTGAATAGAATGGAATGGAATGGATTGGACCCAAAAGTAATGGACTCGAATGGAATGGACTCAAATAGAATGGACTCAAAAGTAATGGTCTCGAATGTAATTTATTCAAGTAGAATGGAATCAAATGGAATCTAAAAGTATGGAATGGAATCGAATGGAATGGAATCGAATGGCATGGACCGGAATTGAATGGACTGGAATAGAACGGACTCAAATATAATGGATTGTAATGTAATTGATTCGAATGCAATGGAATCGAATGGAATGTAATCCAATGGAATGGAATGGAAAGAAATGAAATAGAATAGAATGGAATGCAATGGAATGGAATGGAGTGGAATCGAGTGGAATGGAATCGAATGGAATAGAATCGAATAGAATGGAATGGAGTAAATAGGGCTGCAATGGAATGGACTCGAATGGATTAGACTGGAAGAAAATGGAATCGGGTAGATTGGAATCGAACGGAACGGAATGGAATGGAATTGATTAGAATGGAGTGGAATGGAATGGAATAGAATGGAATGGAATTGAATAGAACGGAATTGAATGGAATCAAAAGGAATAGAATGAATTGGAGGGTAATGGTAAGATATCGAATGGAATGGAATGGAATGCAATGGAATGCAATGGAATGGACTCGAATAGAATGGACTGGAATGGAATGGACTCGAATGGAATAGAATGGAGTGGAATGGACTCAAATGGTATGAAACGAATGTAATGGAATGCAACGGAATGGAAAGGAATAGAATTGAATGGAATCGGATGGAATGGAATGGAAAGAAATGAAGTCAAATGGAATAGAATAGAATGGAATGGCATCGAATAGACTGGAATGGAATGGAGTGGAATGGAATGGACTCGAATTGAATGGATTCAAATAGAATAAAATAGAATGGATTGACATTGAATTGAATAGAATGGAATGGATTGGACTCCAATGGAATGGACTGGAATGGAATGGACTCGAATGGAATAGACTGGAAGAAAATGGAATCGAACGGATTGGAATCAAATGGAACGGAATGGAATGGAATGGAATGGAATGCACTCAAATGGAATAGGGTCTATTGGAAAGGAATCGAATGGAATGGAATAGAATGGAATGGAATTGAATGGAGTCGAAAGGAATAGAATCTAATGGAGTGTAATGGAAAGATATCTAATGGAATAGAGTCGAATGGAATGGACTGGAATGGAATGCACTTGAATGGAATGGACTGAATTGGAATATACTCGAATGGAATGGAAACGAATGGAATGAAATGGAATGGAAAGGAATAGAAAGGAATGGAATCAGAAGGAACAGAATGGACTGGAAAGGAGTCGAATGGAATAGAATCGAATGGAATGACATTGAATGCAATCGAATGGAATCGAATGGAATGGACACGAATGGAATAGAATAGAATGGAATGGCATCGAATTGAATGGAATGGAACGGAATGGAATGGAATTCAATGGACCCAAATGTAATGGACTTGAATGGAATGGACTCAAATAGAATGGACCCGAAAGGAATGGTCTCAAATGGCATTTATTAGAATAGAATGGAATCGAATGGAATGCAATAGTATGGAATGGAATTGAATGGAATAGAATCGAATGGAATGGAAAGGAATGGAATGTACTGGAATAGAATGGACTCGAATGAAAAGGATTACAATGTATTTGATTTGAATGGAATGGAAAGTAATCAAGTGGAAGGTAATGGTATGCAACGGAATGGAATAGAATGGTATGAAATGGAATGGAATGCTGTCGAATTGAGGGAATGGAACTGAATGGAATGGAATTGAATGGAATGGACTGGAATGGAATTGACTCGAATGGAATGGACTCGAATGGAATGGACTGAAACAAAGTGGAATCGAATGGATTGGAATCGAACGGAATGGAATGGAATGGAATAGAATGGACTCGAAAGGAATGGAGTCAAAAGGAATGGAATCGAACAGAATTGAATCGAATGAAATGGAATTCAATGGCATCGAAAGGAATAGAATGGAATGGAGTGCAAAGGAATGCTATGGAATGGAATGGACTCGAATGGAATTGACTCAAATGGAATTGACTGGAGTGGAATGGACTCGAATAGAATGGACTGTAGTGGAATGGGCTCGAATGGAATGGAAAGAATGGAATGGAAAGAATACAATGGAAGGAAATCGGATGGAACGGAATGGAGTGGAATGAAGTCGAATGGAATAGAATCGAATGGAATGGCATCAAATGGAATGGAATGGAATGGATTCAAATGGATTGGACTCAAATGAAATAGAATCGAATGGAATGGAATCAAATGTAATGGAATGAAATGGAATTCATCCAAATGTAATGGTCTCGAATGGAATTGACACAAATAGAATGGACAAGAAACGAATGGTCTCGAATGGAATTTATTCGAATAGAATGGAATCGCATGGAATGCAATAGTATGGAATGGAATTGAAAGGAATTGAATAGAATGCAATGGACCGGAATGCAATGCAATGGAATAGAATGGACTCAAATATAATGGATTGCAAAGTAATTGATTCGAATGCAATGGAATCGAGTGGAAGGTACTCAAATGGAAAGGAATGGTATACAATGGAATGGAATAGAATGGAATGCAATGGAATGGAATGGAGTGGAATCGAGTGGAATGGAATTGAATAGAATGGAATCGAATGGAATGGAATTGAATGGAATGGAATCGAATGCAATGGAATTGAATGGTAACTAAAAAAATAGAATGGAATAGAGTGTAATGGAAAGATATCAAATGAAATGCAATGGACTCGAATGGAATGGACAGGAAAGGAATGGACTCAAATGAAATGGACTAGAGAGGAATGGACTCAAATGTAATGGAAACGAATGGAATGGAATGGAATGAAACGGAAAGGAAGAGAATGGAATGGAATCTGTTGGAATGGAATGGAATGGAGTCGAAAGGAATAGAGTCGAATGGAATGGCATCAAAGGGAAAGGAATGGAATGGAATGGACTCGAGTAGAATGGACTCAAATGGAATAGAATTGAATGGAATGGCATCGAATGGAATGGAATGAAATGGAACCAAATGTAATGGACTCGAATGGAATGGACTCAAATAGAATGGACTCTAAAGGAATGCTCTCGAATGGAATTTATTGAAATAGAATGGAATCGAATGGAATGCAATAGTATGGAATGCAATCGAATGGAATGGAATCAAATGGAATGGACTGGAATGGAATGGACTGGAATAGAACAGACTCGAAAATAATGGATTGCAAAGTAATTGATTCGAATGGAATGGAATCGAATGGAATGTAATCAAAAGGAATGGAATGCAATGCAATGGAATGGAATAGTATGAAATGCAAAGGAATGGAACAGAGTGGAATAGAGTGGAATGGAATAGAATGGAATGGAATTGAATGGAATGGACTGGAATGGAATGGACTCGAATGGAATGGACTGGAACAAAACGGAATCGAACGGATTGGAATCAAATGGAACGGAATAGAATGGAATGGAATGGAATGGACTCGAATTGAATGGAGTCGAATGAAAAGGAATCAAATGGAATGGAGGCGAATTGAATGGAATTGAAGGGAATCGAAAGGAAAAGAATGCAATGGAGTGTAATGGAAAGATATCACATGGAATGGAATTGAATGGACACGAATGGAACGGACTCGAATGGAATGGACCGGAGTGGAATGGACTCGAATGGAATGGAAAAGAATGGAATGGAATGGAAAGGAACAGAATGGAATGGAATCGGTTGGAATGGAATGCAATGGAATGGAGTCGATTGGAATAGAATCGAATGGAATGGCATTGAATGGAATCAAATGGAATCGAATGGAATGGAATCGGTTGGAACGGAATGCAATGGAATGTAGTCGATTGGAATAGAATTGAATGGAATGGAATTGGTTGGAATGGAGTGCAATGGAATGGAGTCGATTGGAATAGAATCGAATGGAATGGCATCGAATGGAATCAAATGGAATCGAATGGAATGACTCGAATGGAATAGAATAGAATGGAATGGCATAGAATGGAATGGAATGGAATGGAATGGAATGGAATGGAATGGACCCAAATGTAAAGGACTCTAACGGAAAGGAGTCAAATATAATGGACTCGAACTGAATGGTCTTGAATGGAATTTATTCGAACAGAATGGAACTGTGTGGAATGCAATAGTATGGAATGGAATCGAATGGAACAGAATAGAATGGAAAGGACTGGAATAGAATGCACTCGAATGTAATGGATTGCAATGTAATTGATTTGAATGGAATGGAAATGAAAGGAATGTAATCAAATGGAAGGGAAAGGTATGCAATGGAATGGAACGGAGTGGAATCGAGTGTAATGGAATCGAATGGAATGGAATTGAATGGAACGGAATCGAATGGAATGGACTGGAATGGAATGGACTCGAAGGGAATGGAAAGGAACAAAATGTAATTGAACAGATTGGAATCGAACGTAACAGAAAGGAATGGGATGAAATGGAATGGACTCGAAAGGAATGGAGTCGAATGGAATGGAACCAAATGGAATGGAATTGAATGGAATTGAAAGGAATATAATGGAATGGAGTGTAATGGAAATATATGAAATGGAATGGACTCAAATGGAATCAACTGGAATGGAATGGACTCGAATGGAATGGAGTGGAGTGGAATGGACTCGAATATAATGGAAACGAAAGGAAAGGAATGGAATGGAAAGGAATAGAATGGAATGGAATCGGTTAGAACGGAATGGAATCAAATGAAGTCGAACAAAATAGAGTCGAACGGAATGGCATCGAATGGATTGGAATGGAATGGAATGGAATGGATTCTAATGGAATGGACTCGAATGGAATAGAAAAGAATGGAATGGCATTGAATGGAATGGAATGGAATGGAATGGAATGGAATGGAATGGAATGGAATGGAATGAACTGGACCCAAATGTAATGGACTCGAATGGAATGAACTCAAATAGAATGGACTCAAAACGAAAGGTCTCGAATGGAATTTATTCAAATAGAATGGAAACAAAAGGAATGCAGTAGTATGGAATGGAATCGAACGTGATGGAATCGAATGAAATGGACTGGAATGGAATGGACTGGAATAGAACGGACTCGAATGTAATGGATGACAATGTAATTGATTCGAATGGAATGGAATCGAATGGAATCTAAACAAAAGGTATGGAATGGAATGCATTGGAATGGATAGAATCTAACGCAATGGAATTGAATGGAGTGGAATCGAGTGGAATGGAATTGAAAGGAATGGAATCGAATGGAATGGAATCGAATGGAGTGGAATGGAATGGAATGGAATAGATACGAATGGAATGGACTGGAACAAAATGGAATCAAACAGATTGGAATCAAACGGAACAGAATGGAATGGAACAGAATGGAATGGAATGGAATGGACTCGATTGGAATGGAGTCGAATGGAATGGAATCGAAGGAAATGGAATCAAATAAAACGGAATTGAATGGAATCAAAACATAGAATGAATTGGAGTGTAATGGAAAGACATCGAAAAGAATGGAAGGGAATGGACTCGAATGGAATGGACTGGAATGGAATGGACTCGAATGGAATTGACTGGAGTGGAATGGACTCAAATGGAATGCAAACAAATAATTGGAATAGAATGGAAATTAATACAATGGAATGGAATCGGATGGAATGGAATGGAGTCAAATAGAAGAGAATCGAATGGAATGACGTTGAATGGAATGGAATGGAATGGAATCAAATGGAATAGACTAGAATGGAATTGAATAGAATGCAATGACATCGAATGGATTGGAATGCAATGCAACAGACTCCAATGGAATGATCCAGAATGGAATAGAATGTAATGGAATTGAATGGCATGGAACGAACTCAAATGTAATGGACTCGAGTGGAATGGACTCAAATAGAATGCACTCAAAAGCAACTTTCTCGAAAGTAATTTAGTAGAATAGAATGGAATCGTATGGAATGCAATAGTATGGAGTGGAATAGAATGGAATAGAATCGAATGGAATGGACAGGAATGGAATGGACTGGAATAGAACGGACTCGAATGTAATGGATTGAAATGTAATTGATTTGAATGGAATGGAATTGAATGGAATATAAACACATAGAATGGAATGGTATGCAATGGAATGGAATAGAAAGGAATGCAATGGAATGGAACGGAGTGGAATCGAGTGGAATGGAATCGAATGGAATGTAATCAAATGGAATGGACTGGAATGGAATGGAGTCGAATGGAATGGACTGGAACAAAATGTAATCGAACGGATTTGAATCGAACAGAACGGAATGGAATGGAATGGAATAGACTCAAATGGAATGGAGTCGAATGGAATGGAACCAAATGGAATGTAATCGAATGGAATGGAATTGAATGGAATCGAAAGTAATATAATGGAAAGGAGATTAATGGAAACATATACAATGGAATGGAAAGGAAAGGAATGTACTCGAATGGAATGGACTGGAATGGAATGGACTCGAGTGGAACGGAGTGGAGTGGAATGTACTCGAATGGAATGGAAACGAATGGAATGGAATGGAATGGAATGGACACGAATGGAATAAAATCGAATGGAATGGCATCGAATTGAATGGAATTGAACACAATGGAATGGAATGGAATGGAATGGAATGGAATGGAATGGAATGGAATGGACCCAAAGGTAAGGGACTCGAATGGAATGGACTCAGATAGAATGGACTCGAAAGCAATGGTCTCGAATGCAGTTTATTCGAATAGAATGGAATCAAATGGAATGCAATAGTGTGGAATGGAAATGAAAGGAATAGAATAGCATGGAATGGATAGGAATGCAACGTACTGTAATAGAACGGACTCTAACGTAATGGATTGCAATGAATTTGATTTGAATGGACTGGAACAGAATGAAATGTAATCAAATGGAATGGAATGGTATGCAATGGAATGGAATAGAATGGAATGAAATGGCATGGAACGCAGTGGAATTGAGTGGAATGGTATTGAATGGAATGGAATCGAATGGAATGGACTGGAATGGAATGACTCGAATGGAATGGATTGGAAAAAATGGAATCGAACAGATTGGAATCGAATGGAACGTAATGGAATGGAATGGAATGGAATCAAATCGAATGGAATGGAGTCGAATGAATTGGAATTGAATGGAATGGAATCGAATGAATTGGAATTGAATGGAATCGAAAGGAATAGAATGGAATGGAGAGCAGTGGAAAGATATCGAATGGAATAGAATGGAGTCAAATGGAATGGACTAGAATGGAATGGACTCGAATGGAGCGGACTGGAGTGGAATGGACTCGAATGGAATGGAAACAAATGGAATGGAATGGAATGGAATGGAATGCAATGGAATGGAATGCAATGGAATGCAAATAAATAGAATGGAATGGAAACGGATGGAATGGAATGGAGTGGAATAGAGTCGAATGGAATAGAATCGAATGGAATGGCATCAAATGGAATGGAATGGAATGGAATGGAATGGATTTGAATGGAATAGAATCGAATGGAATGGAATTGAATGGAATGAAATGGAATGGAATGAAATGGAATTGACCCAAATGTAATGGACTTGAATGGAATGGACTCAAATAGAATGGATAAGAAGGGAACGGTCTCGAATGGAATTTATGCGAATAGAATAGAATTCCATGGAATGCAAAAGTACATAATGCAATCGAATGGAATGGACCGGATTGGAATGGACTGGAATAGAAAGGACTCGAATATAATGGATTGCAAAGTAATAATTTCGAATGGATTGGAATCAAATGGAATGTAATCAAATGCAATGGAATGGTATAGAATTGAGTGCAATGGAATGGAATGGAGTGGAATCGAGTGGAATGGAAATGAATGGAATGGAATTGAATGGTATGGACTGGAATGCAATGGACATGAATGGAATGGACTGGAACACAATGGAATCGAACGTAATGGAATCGAATGAAAAAGAATAGAATTTAATGGAATGGAATGGACTCAAATAGAATGGAGTAGATTGGAATGGAAACGAATGGAATGGAATAAAAAGGAATGGAATCAAAAGGCATAGAATGGAATGGAGTGTAATGGAAAGATATCCAATGGAATGGAATGGAATGGACTGGAATGGAATAGACTCAAATGGAATGGACTGGAGTGGAATGGACCCGAATGGATTGGAATGGAATGGAATGGTATGGAATGGAAAGGAATAGAATGGAATGGAATCGGATGGAACGGAATGGAATGAAATGGAGTCGAATGTAATAGAATCAAATGGAATGGCATCAAATGGCATGGAATGGAATGGATTCGAATGGAATGGACTTGAAAGGAATAGAATCAAATGGAATGGCTTCGAGTGGTATGGAATGGAATGGACCCAAATGTAATGGACGTGAATGGAATGGACTCAAATAGAATGGACTCTAAAGGAATGGTATCGAATTGAATTTATTCGAGTAGAATGGAATCGAATGGATTGCAATATTATGGTATGGAATCAAACGGAATGGAATCGAATGGAATGTACCGGAATGGAATGGACTGGAATAGAACGGACTCGAAAGTAATGGATTGCAATGTAATTGATTCGAATGGAATGTAATCAAACGGAATGTAATCAAATGGAATGGAATGGAATGGAATAGAATGGAATGCAATGGAATGGAACAGAACAGAGTGGAATTGACAGGAATGGAATCGAGTGGAAAGGAACAGAATGGAATGGAATGGAGTCAAATGGAATAGAATCAAATGGAGTGGCATTAAATGGAATTGAATGGAATGGAATGGACTCTAATGGAATGGACACGAATGGAATACAATGGAATGAAATGGCATCGAATGGAATGGAATGGACCCTAACGTAATGGAGTCGAATAAAAGGGACTCAAATAGAATGGATTCGAAAGGAATGGTCTCGAATGAAATTTATTCGAATAGATTGGTATTGAATGGAATTCAATAGTATGGAATGGTCTCAAATGAAATTTATTCGAATAGATTGGTATTGAATGGAATTCAATAGAATGGAATGGTATTGAATGGATTGGAATTGAATGGAATGGACCGGAATGGAATGGAGTGGAATAGAACGTACTCCAATGTAATGGATTGCAATGTAATTGATTCGAATGGAATGGAATCGAATGGAATGTAATCAAATGGAATGGAATGGAATGCAATGGAATGGAATGGAATAGAATGCAATGTAATGGAATAGAACGGAATGCAATGGAATGGAACAGAGTGGAATCGAGTGGAAAGGAATTGAATGGAATGGAATCGAATGGAATGGACTCAAATGGAATGGACTCGAATGGAATGGACTCTAATGGAATGGTCTCGAATGGAATTTATTCGAATAGAATGGAATCGAGTGGAATGCAATAGTACAGAACGGAATTGATTGGAATGGAATCGAATGGAATGTAGCGGGATGGAATGGACTGGACAAAATGGAATTGAATGGCACGGAATGGAATTGAATGGACTGGAATGGAATGGAGTCGAACGGAATGGAATCGGATGTAATGGAAACGAGCAGAATGGAATTGAATGGAATCAAAAGGAATAGAATGGAATGGAGTGTAACGGAAGGAAATCAAATGGAACGGAATGGAATGGACTCGAATGGAATGGACTGGAACAAAATGGAATCAAATGGATTGGAATCGAATGGAACCGAGTGGAAAGGAGTGGATTGGAATGGAATGGAATGGAATGGAATGGAGTCGAATGGAATGGAATCGAATGGAAAGGAAGAGAATGTAATGGAATCAAATGGAATGGAATTGAAAGGAATCAAAAGGAATACAATGGAATGAACTGTAATGGAAATATATCGAATGGAAAGTAACAGAATGGAATGGACACGAATGGATTGGACTGGAATGGAATGGAATGAACTTGAATGGAATGGACTGGAGTGGAATGGTCTTGAATGGAATAGAATCTAATGGAATGGCATCAAATGGAATGGAATGGAAGGGAATGGAATGGACACAAATATAATGGACTCGAATGGAATGGACTCAAACTGAATGGACACAAAAGTAATGGTCTCGAATGGAATTTATTCGAATGCAATGGATTCGAAAGGAATGCAATAGTATGGAATGGAAACAAATGGAATGGAATCGAATGGAATGTAGGGGATTGGAATGGACTGGAATACAATGGACTTAAATGTATAGGATTGCAATGAAATTGACTCGAATGGAATGGAATCAAATGGAATGTAATCAAATGGAATGGAATGGAATGCAATGGAATGGAATACAATGGAATGCAATGGAATGGAATGCAGTGGAATCGAGTGGAATGAAATCGAATGGAATAGAATTGAATGGAATGGACTGCAATGGAATGTACTCGAATGGAATGGACAAGGAACAAAATGGAATTGAACAGTTTTTAATCGAACGGAATGGAAAGGAATGGAATGGAAAGGACTCGAATAGAATGGAGTTGAACAGAATGGACCAGAATGGAATGGACTGGAATAGAACGGACTCGAATGTAATGGACTGCAAAGTAATTGATTCGAACGGAAGGGAATCGAATGGAATGTAATCAAATGGAATGGAATGGAATGCATTGCAATGGAATAGAATGGAATGCAATGGAATGGAAGGGAGAGGAATCAACTGGAATGGAATTGAATGGAATGGAATTGAATGGAATTGAATCGAATG
This sequence comes from Homo sapiens, assembly GCF_000001405.40. Taxonomy (NCBI): domain Eukaryota; kingdom Metazoa; phylum Chordata; class Mammalia; order Primates; family Hominidae; genus Homo; species Homo sapiens. The sequence continues at coordinate 26,850,279 of NC_000017.11, forward strand.
GAATGGACAGAATGGAATGGATTCGAATGGAATGGACTGGAACAAAATGGAAAAGAACGGATTGGATTCAAAAGGAATTGAATTTAATGGAATGGATTGTATTCAAAAGGAATGGATTCTAATGGAGTGGAATTGAAAGGAATCGAAAGGAATAGAATGGAATGGAGTGTAAGGGAAAGATATCGAATGGAATGGAGTGGACTCCAATGGAATGGAATGGAGTGTAATGGAAAGATATTGAATGGAATGAAATGGAAGGGAGTGGACTCAAATGGAATGGAATGGACTCGAACGGAATGGACTGGAGTGGAATGGACTAGAATGTAACGGAAACGAATGGAATGGAATGGAATGGAATGAAAAGGAAACGAATGGAATTGAAAGGAATGAAATGGAAAGGAATAGAATGGAATGGAATCAGATGGAGTCGAATGGAATAGAATCGAATGGTATGGCATCAAATGGAATGGAATGGATTGTAATGGAATGAACTCGAGTGGAATGGAATCGAATGGATTAGAATCGAATGGAAGGGAATTCAATGGAATGGAATGGAATGGACCCAATAGTAATGGACTTCAAAGGAATGGACTCATAAAGAATGGACTCGAAAGAAGTGGTATCAAATGGAATTTATTTGAAAAGAATGGAATCGAATGGAAAGCAATAGTATGGAATGGAATCGAATGTAATGGACTGGAATGGAATGGTCTGGAATAAAACGGACTCGAATGTAATGGATTGCAATGTAATTGATTTGAAAGGAAAGGAATCGAATGGAATGTATTCAAAAGGAATGGAATGGAATGCAGTAGAATGCAACAGAATGGAATGCAAAGGAATGGAATGGAGTGAAATCGAGTGGAATGGAATCGAATGGAATGGAATTGAATGGAATGGAATCGAATGGAATAGACTCGAATGGAATGGAATTGAATGGAATGGAATCGAATGGAATAGACTCGAATGGAATGGACTGGAACAAAATGGAAGGGAACCGATTGGAATCGAAAAGAATGGAATCGCATGGAATGGAATGGAAAGGATTTGAATGGAATGGAGACGAATGGAATGGAACCGAATGGATTGGAATCTAATGGAATGGAATTGAAAGGAATCGAAACGAATAGAATGGAATGGAGTGTAATGGAAAGATATCGAATGGAATGGAATTGAAATGAATTGAAAGGAATAGAATAGAATGGAGTGTAATGGAAACATATCAAATGGAATGGAGTGCAATGGACTCGAATGCAATGGAATGCAATGGAATGGATTGGAATGGACTCAAATGAAATGGACTGGAGAGGAATGGACAAGAATGGAAAGGAAAAGAATGGAATGGAATGGAAAAGAATGGAATGGAATGGAGTGGAAAGGAATAGAATGGAATGGAATTGGATGGAATGCAATGGAATGGAATGTAGTCGAATGGAAAACATTCGAATGGAATGGCATCAAATGGATTAGAATAGAATGGAATGGAATGGAATGGACTCCAATGGAATGGACTCGAATGGAATATAATCAAATGGAATGGCATCGAATGGAATGGAATGGAATGGAATGGACCAAAAGTAATGGAATCGAATGGAATGGGCTCAAATAGAATGGACTCAAAAGGAATGGTCTCGAATGGAATTTATTTGAATAGAATGTAATCGAATGTAATGCAATAGTATGGAATGGATTCGAAAGGAAAGGAATTGAATGGAATGAACCGGAATGGAATGGACTGGAATAGAACAGACTCAAATGTAATGGATTGTAAGGTAATTGATTCGAATCGAATGGAATCGAATGGAATGTAATCAAGTGGAATGGAATGGAATACAATGGAATGGAATAGAATGGAATGCAATGGAATGGAACGTAGTGGTATCGAGCAGAATGGAATCGAATGGAATGGAACGGAATGGAATGGACTACAATGGAAAGGACTGGAATTCAGTGGACTGGAACAAAATGGAATCGAACGGATTGGAATTGAATGAAACGGAATAGAATGGAATGCAACGGACACGAATGGAATGGAGTCGAATGGAATGGAACCGAATGGAATGGAATCGAAGGGAATGGAATCAAATGGAAGGGAATATAATGGAATCGAAAGGAATAGAATGCAAGAGAGTGTAGTGGAGAGATATCAAATGGAATAGAACAGAATGGAATGGACTCAAAAGGAATTGACTGGAATGGAATGGACTCGAATGGAATGGACTTGCGTGGAATGCATTCGAATGGAATGGACTGAAGTGGAATGGATTCGAATGGAATGGAAACAAATGCAATGGAATGAACTGGATAGGAATGGAATGGAATGGAAAGAATAGAATGGAATGGAATCGGTTAGAATGGAATGCAACGGAATGGACTTGAATGGAATAGAATAGAAGGGAATGGCATCGAATTGAATAGAATGGAATGGAATGGATTGGACACAAAAGTAGTGGACTCGAATGGAATGGACTTGAAAGGAATGGTCTCGAATGGAATTTATTCAAATAGGATGGAATCGAATGGAATGCAATAGTATGGAATGGAGTCGAATGGAATGGAATCGAATGGAATGTAGTGGGATGGAATAGACTGGAACAAAATGAAATCGAAAGGATTGGAACCGAATGGAATGGAATGGAATGGAATGGAATGGAATGAACTCGAATACGATGGAGTCAAATGGGATGGAATCGAATGGAATGGAATTGAATGGAATCGAAAGGAATAGAATGGAATGGAGTGTAACGGAAAGATATCAAATGGAATGGAATGGAATGGACTCGAATGGAATGGACTGGAACAAAATGAAATCAAAAGGATTGGAATCGCAGGGACCCGAATGGAAAGGAATGGATTGGAATGGACTCGAATGGAATGGAGTCGAATGGAATGGAATCAAATGGAATGGAATCGAATGGAATGGAATTGAATGGAATCAAAAGGAATAGAGTGGAATGGAGTGTAATGTAAAGATATCGAATGGAATGGAATGGAATGGACTCGAATGGAATGGACTGGAAGGGAATTCACTCGAATGCAATGGACTTGAGTGGAATGGACTCAAATGGAATGGAAACGAATGGAATGGAATGGAAAGGAATAGAATGGAATGGAATCAGATGGAACGGAATGGAATGGAATGGAGACGAATGGAATAGAATTGAATGGAATTGCATCAAATGGAATGGAATGGAGTGGAATGGAATAGAAGGGACTTGAATGGAGTGGAGTCAAAAGGCATAGAATCTAATGTAATGGCATCAAATGGAATGCCATTGAATGGAATGGTCCCAAATGTAATGGACTCGAATAGAATGGCCTCGAAAGAAATGATCTGAAATGGAATCCGTATGAATAGAATGGAATCGAATGGAATGCAATAATATGCAATGGAATTGAATAGAAAGAAATCGAATGGAATGATCCGGAATGGAATGAACTGGAATACAACGGACACGAATGTAATGGATTGCAATTTGATTGATTCGAATGGAATGGAATCGAATGGAATTTAACCAAATGAAATGGAATGGAATGCAATGGACTGGAATAGAATGGAATGCAATGGAATGGAACAGACTGGAATCGAGTGGAATGGAATCAAATGGAATGGAAGCAAATGGAATGGAATTGAATGAAATGGACTGGAAAGGAATGGAGTCGAATGGAATGTACTGGAACAAAACGGAATCGAACAGATTGGAATAGAATGGAACGGAATGGAATGCAATGGACACGAATGGAATGGAGTCTAATGGAATTGAATGGAAAGTAATGGAATCAAATGGAATGAAATTGAATGGAAACGAAAGGAATAGAATGGAATGGAGTGTAATGGAAACATATCGAATGCAATGGAAATGGAATGGCCTCGAATGGAATGGACTAGAATGGAATGGGCTTGAAAGGAATGGACCGGAGTGGAAAGGAGTCGAATGGAATAGAAACGAATGGAATGGAATGGAATGCAATGGAATGGAATGGAAAGGAATAGAAATGGAAAGGAATCGGAGGGAATACAATGGATGGGAATGGAGTCTATTGGAATAGAATCGAATGGAATGGCATCGAATGGAATGGAATGGAAAGGACTCGAATGGAATGGACTCTAATGGAATAGAACGGAATGGAATGGAATGGAATGGATTGGAATGGAATGGAATGGAATGGACCCAAATGTAATGGGCTTGAATGGAATGGACACAAATAGAATGGACTCGAAAGAAATAGTCTCGAATGGAATTAATTCGAATAGAATGGAATGGAAAGGATTGCAATATTATGGAATGGAATATAATGGAATGGAATCAAATGGAATGGAACGGAATGGAATGGACTGGAATAAAACTGACTCGAATGCAATTTATTGCAATGTAATTGATTCGAATGGAATGGAATCAAATGGAATGGAATCAAATGGAATGGAATCAAATGGAATGAAATCGAATGGAATGGAATGGAATGCAATGGAATGGAATAGAATGGAATGCAATGGAATGGAACGGAGTGGAATCGAGTGGAATGGAATCGAACGTAACGGAATCGAATGGAATGGACTGGAATGGAATGGACTGGAATAAAATGGAATTGTACGAATTGGAATCAAACAGAACGGAATGCAATGGAATGGAATGGAATGGACTCGAATGGAATGGAGTCGAATGGAATGGAGTCGAATGGAATGGAATCGAAAGGAATGGAACCTAATGGAATGGAATTGAATGGAATCGAAAGGAAAAGAATGGATTGGAGTGTAATGGAAAGATATCGAATGGAATGGAATGGAATGGACTCAAATGGAATGCACTGGAATGGAATGGACTCGAATGGAATGCACTGGAGTGGAATGGACTCGAATGGAATGGAAACGAATGGAATGGAATGGAATTTAAAGGAATAGAGTGGAATGGAATGGAATAGAAAGTAATGGAATGGAATGGAGTCGAATGGAATGGAGTCGAATGGAATAGAATCAAATGGAATGGCATCAAATGGAATGGAATGGAATTGAATGGATTCAACTGGAATGGACTCGAATGGAATAGAATATAATAGAATGGCATCGAAAGCAATGGAATGGAATGAAATGGAGTGGAATTGAATGGACCAAAACGTAACAGACTCGAATGGAATGGACTCAAAAAGAATGGTCTCAAAAGTAATGATCTCGAAAGGAATTTATTCGAATAGAATGGAAGCGAAAGGAATGCAATAGTATGGAATGAAATCGAACGGAATGGACTGGAATGGAATGGACAGGAAGAGAACGGACTGGAATATAATGGATTGCAATGTAATTGATTCAAATGGAATGGAATCGAATGGAATGTAAACAAATGGAATGGAATGGAAAGCAATGGAATGGAATAGAATGAAATGCAATGGAATGGAACTGAGTGGAATTGAGTGGAATGTAATTGAATGGAATGGAATCGAATGGAATGGAATCAAATTAAATGGACTGGAATGGAATGGACTTGAATGGAATGGAATGGAACAAAATGCAATCTAATGGACTGGAATCGAATGGAACGGAACTGAATGGAATGGAAAGGAACGGAATGGAATGGAATCAAACGGAATGGAGTCAAACGCAATGGAATCGAATGGAATAGAATAGAATGGAATGGAATTCAATGGAATCAAAAGAAATAGAATGGAATGGAGTCGAATGGATTGGAATCTAATAGAATGGAATAGAATGGAATGGACCGGAATGGAATGTACTGGAGTAGAATGGACTCGAAAGAAATGGATTGCAAGGTAATTGATTCGAATGGAATGGAATCGAATGGAATGTAATCTAACGGAGTGGAACGCAATGGAATGCAATGGAATGGAAAAGAATGTAATGGAATGGAATGGAACGGAGAGGAATCAAGTGGAATGGAATCAAATGGAATGGAATTGAATGGAATGGAATGGAATCGAATGGAATGGACTGGAACGGAATGGAATCAAATGGAATGGACTGTAACAAAATGGAATGGAACTGATTGGAATCGAACAGAAAGGAATGGAATGGAATGGACCCCAATGGAATGGAGTCGAATGGAATGGAATTGAGTGGAATGCAATTGAATGGAATCAAATGAAATAGAATGGAATGGAGTTTAATGGAAAGATATCTAATGAAATGGATTGGAATTGAATGGAATGGACTGCAATGGAATGGACTGGAATGGAATGGACTGGAGTGGAATGGACTCGAATGGAATGGAAACGAATTGATTGGAATGGAATTTAATGGAATGGAATGGAAAGGAATCGAATGGAATGAAATCAGATGGAACGGAATGGAATGGACAGAGTGGAATGGAATGGAATGCAATGGAATGGAATGGAAAGGAATACAATGGAATGGAATCGGAAGGAATGGAATGGAATTTAAAGGAGTCAAATGCAATAGAATCGAATGGAATGGCATCGAATGGAATGGAATGGAATGGATTCGAATGGAATGGAAACAAATGGAATGGAAAGGTATAGAATGGAATGGAATTGGATGGAATGGAATGCAAAGAAATGAAGTCGAATGGAATACAATTGAATGGAATGGCATGGAATGGAATGGAATGGAATGGAATGGAATGGAATGGAATGGAATGGACTCGAATGGAATAGAATAGAATGGAATGGAACTAAATGTAATGAACTTGAAAGGAATGGACTCAAATAGAATGGAATCGAAAGGAATGGTCTTGAATGGAATTTATTCGAATAGAAAGGAATCGAATGGAATGCAATAGTGTGGAATGGAATCGAATGGAATGGAATCAAATGGAATGGACCGAAATGGAATGGACTGACATAGATTGGACTCGAATGTAATGGATTGCAATGTATTAAATTCGAATGGAAGGAAATCAATTGGAATGTAATCAAATGGAACGGAATTGAATGCTTGAAATGGAATAGAATGTAATGCAATGGAATGGAATAGACTGGAATGGAATGTAATTGAATGCAATGTAATCAAATGTAATGGAAAGGAATGCCATGGAATGGAATAGAATGGAATGCAATGCAAAGGTATAGAATGGAATGCAATGGAATTTAGTGGAATGGAGTCAAATGGAATGCAATAGAATGGAATGGCATCCAATGGAAAGGAATGGAATGGACTCAAAGGGAAAGCACATGAAAGGAATATAATATAATGGAATGGCATCGAATGGAATGGAATGGAATGGAATGCAGTGAAATGGAAAGATATAAAATGGAAAGGAATGGAATGGACTCAAACGGAATATACTGAAATGGAACGGACTTGAATGGAATGGACTGGAATGGAATGGACTCGAAAGGAATGGAAACGAATAGAATGGAATGGAATGGAAAGGAATAGAATGGAATGGAATCGGATGGAATGGAATGGAAAGGAACAGAATCGAATGGACTAGAATTGAATGGAATGGCATCGAATGGAGTGGAATGGATTGGAATGGAATCGAATGGAATGGACTCGAATGGAATACAATCAAAAGGAATGGCATCGAAAGGATTGGAATGGAATTGAATGGAAGGAACTCGAATGGAATAGAATCAAATAGAATGGCATGCAATGGAAGGGAATAGAATGGAATGGACCCAAATGTAATGGACTCTAAAGGAATAGACTCAAATAGAATGAACTCGAAAGGAATGGTCTCGAATGGAATGTATTCGAATAGAATGGAATCAAAAGGAATGCAATAGTTTGGAATGGACTCGAATGGAATGGAATCGAATGGAATGGACCGGAATGGAATGGACTGGAACAGAATGGACTCGAATGTAATGGATTGCAATGCTATTGATTTCAATGGAATGGAATAGAATGGAATGTAATCAAATGGAATTGAATGGTATGCAATGGAATGGAATGGAATAGAATGGAATCCAGTGTAATGGAATCGAATGGAATGGAATCAAATGGAAGGGAATCAAATGGATTGGACTGTAATGGAATGGACTCGAATGGAATGGACTGAAATAAAATGTAATCGAACGGATTGGAGTCAAAGTGAACAGATTGGAAATGAATGGAATGGAAGGGAAAGGACTTGAATGGAATGGAACCAAATGGAATCTAATGGAATGTAATCAAATGGAAAGGAATAGAATACAACGGAATGGAATAGAATGGAATTCAATAGAATGGAATAGAATGGACAGCAGTGGAATGGAACAGAGTGGGATCGAGTCGATTAGAAACGAATGGAATGGAATCGAATGGAATGGAATCGAGTGGAATGGAATTGAATGGAATCGAAAAGAAAAGAATGGAATCAAAAATAATAGAATGGAATCAAGTGTAATTCAAAGATATCGAATTTAAAGGGAATGGAATGAAATGGACTAGAATGGAATGGAATGGACTTGAATGGAATGGACAGGAGAGGAATGGACTCGAATGGAATGGAAACTAATGGAATGGAATAGATTGGATTGGAATAGAATGTAATGGAATGGAAAGGAAAAGAATGGAATGTAATTGGATGGAATGGAATGGAATGGAATGGAGTCGAATGGAATAGAATCCAATGGAATGGCATCGAATGGATTAGAATGGAATGGAATGGAATGGAATGGAATGGAATGGACTCGAATGGAATGGACACGAATGGAATAGAATCGAATGGAATGTCATGGAATGGAATGGAATGGACCCAAATGTAATGGAATCGAATGGAATGGACTCAAATAGAATGGACCCAAAAGGAATGGTCTTGAAAGGAATTTATTCGAATTGAATGGAATGAAATGGTATGAGATAGCACGGAATGCAATCGAATGGAATGGAAGCGAATTGAATGGAGCGGAATGGAATGGACAGGAACAGAATGGTCACGAATGTAATGTATTGCAATGTAGTAGATTCAAATGGAATGGAATTGAATGGAATGTATTCAAATGGAATGGAACGGAATGCAACGGAATGGAATAAAATGGAATGCAATGGAATGGAACACAGTGGAATCGAGTGGAATGGAATCAAATGGAATGGAATTGAATGGAATGGAACGGAATGGAATGGATTCGAATAGAATAGACTGGAAAAAATTGGAATCGAACGGATTGGAATCAAACGGAATGGGATGGAACGGAATGGAAAGGAATGGAATGGAATCAAATGGAATGGAGTCGAATGGAATGGAATCGAATAGAATGGAATTGAATTTATTCAAAAGGAATAGAATGGAAAGGAGTGTAACGGAATGATAACCAATGGAATGGAATTTAATGGAATGGACTCAAAAGGAATGGACTGGGGTGGAATGGACTGGAATGGAATGGACTCGAATGGAATGGACTCAAATGGAATGGACTGGAGTGGAATGGACTCGAATGGAATGCAAACGAATGGAATGGAATGCAATGGAATGGAATGGAAAGGAATAGAATGGAATGGAATCGGATGGAATAGAATGGAATGGAATGGAGTCAAATGGAATAGAATTGAA
>NC_000017.11:26860166-26876740 GCF_000001405.40 Homo sapiens
GGAATCGAATGGAATGGAATCAAAGGGAATGGACCGGAAAGGAGTGGACTGGAATAGAACAGACACGAATGTAATGCATTGCAATGTGTATGATTCGAATGGAATGGAATCGAATGGAATGTAATCAAATGGAATGGAATGGAATGCAATGGAATGGAACAGAACGGAATGCAATGGAATGGAACGCAGTGGAATCAAGTGGAAAGGTATCGAATGGAATGGACTTGAATGCAATGGACTGGAATTGAATGCAGTCGAATGGAATGGAGTGGATCATAATGGAATCGAATGGATTGGAATTCAATGGAATGGAATGGATTCGAATGGAATGGAGTCAAATGGAATGGAATCGAATGGAATGGAATTTAATAGAATTGAATTGAATGAAATGGAATTGAATGGAATCAAAAGGAATAAAATGGAGTGGAGTGTAACGGAAAGATATCGAAAGAAATGGAATGGAATGGAATGGACTCGAATGGAATGGACTGGAATGCAATGGACTCGAAAGGAATGGAATGGAATGGAAAGGAAAAGATGGAATGGAATTGGATGGAACGGAATCGAATGGAATGGAGTCGAATGGAATATAATCAAATGGAATGGAATGGAATGGAATGGAATGGAATGGATTCGAATGGAATGGACTCGAATGGAATAGAATCGAATGGAATGGCATTGAATGGAATGGAATGGAATGCACCCAAATATAATGGACTCGAATGGAATGAACTCAAATAGAATGGACTTGAAAGGAATGGTTTCGAATGGAATTTATTCGAATAGAATGGAATAGAACGGAATGAAATAGTATGGAATGGAATCGAAAGGAATTAAATAGTATGGAATGGAATCAAATTGAATGGAATCGAATGGAATGCACCAGAATGGAATGGACTGGAATAGAACGGACTCGAATGTAATGGATTGCAATGTAATTGATTCAAATGGACTGGAATCGAATGGAATGTAATCAAATGGAATGGAATGGAATGCTATGGAATGCAATAGAATGGAATGCAATGGAATGGAACGGAGTGGAATCGAGTGGAATGGAATTGAATGGAATGGAATTGAGTGGAATGGACTGGAATGGAATGGGCTAGAATGAAATGGACAGGAACAAAATGGAATTCAATGGATTGGAATCGAATGGAACGGAATGGAATGGAATGGAATGCATTGGAATGGAATGGAATGGAATGGAGTCGAAAGAAATGGAGTCGAGTGGAATGGAATCAAGTGGAATGGAGTCGAATGGAATGGAATGGGATTGAATGGAATTGAAAGGAATACAATGGAATGGAGTGTAATGGAAAGATATTGAATGGAATGGAGTGTAATGGAAAGATATTGAATGGAATGGACTCGAATGGATTGGACTCAAATGGAATGGACTGGAGTGGAATGGACTCGAATGGAATGGATCGGAGTGGAATGGAGTCGAATTGAATGGAAACGAATGGAGTGGAATACAATGGAATGGAATGGAATGGAATGGAAAGGAAAGGAATAGAATGGAATGGATTCGTATGGAAAGTAATGGAAGGGAATGGAGTCGAATGGAATAGAATCGAAAGGAATGGCATCAAATGGAATGGACTGGAATGGAATGGACTCGAAGGGAATATAATCGAATGAAAAGGCATCGAATGTAATGGAATGGAATGGCATGGAATGGAATGGACTCGAAGGGAATATAATCGAATGAAAAGGCATCGAATGTAATGGAATGGAATGGCATGGAATGGAATGGAATGGACTCGAAGGGAATATAATCGAATGAAAAGGCATCGAATGTAATGGAATGGAATGGCATGGAATGGAATGGAATGGAATGGACCCAAATGTAATGGACACGAATTGAATGGACTCAAACAGAGTGGAATCGAAAGAAATGGTCTCGAATGAAATCTATTTGAATAGAATGGAATCGAATGGAATGCAATAGTATGGAATGGAATCGAATGGAATGGAATTGAACGGAATGGACCAGAATGGAATGGACAGGAATAGAACGGACTCGAATGTAATGAATTGCAATAAAATTGATTCGAATGGAATGGAATCAAATGGAATGTAATCAAATGGAATGGAATGGAATGCAAAGGAATGGAATGGAATGGAATGCAAAGGAATGGAATAGAATGGAATGCAATGGAGTGGAACGGAGTGGAATCGAGTGGAATGGAATCGAATGGAATGTAATTCAATGGAATGGACTTGAATGGAGTGGACTAGAATGTAATGGACAGGAACAAAATGGAATTGAACTGATTACAATTGAACGGAAGGGAATGGAATGGAACGGAATGGAATGGAATCGAATGGAATGGAATCAAATGGAATGGAATTGAATGGATACGAAATGAATATAATGGAATGGAGTGTAATGGAAAGATATCGAATGGAAAGGAATGGAAAGGGCTCAAATGGAATGGACTGGAATGAAATGGTCTCGAATGGAATAGACTGGAGTGGAATGGACTCGAATGCAATGGAAACAAATGGAATGGAATGCTACGGAATGGAATGGAAAGGAATAGAATGGCATGGAATCAAATGGAATGGAATGGAAGGCTATGGAGTCGAATGGAATAAAATCGAATGGAATAGCATCGATTGGAATGGAATGGAATGGATTCGAATGGAATGGACTGGAATGAAATGGCATCGAATAGAATGGACTGGAGTGAAAAGGAATCGAATGGAATGGACTGGAATGGAACGGACTCGAATAGAATGGAATTGAACGGAATGGACCAGAATGGAATGGACAGGAGTAGAACGGACTCGAATGTAATGAATTGCAATAAAATTGATTCGAATGGAATGGAATCAAATGGAATGGAATGGAATGCAAATGAATGGAATAGAATGGAATGCAATGGAATGGAACGGAGTGGAATGGAGTGGAATGGAATCGAATGGAATGGAATTCAATGGAATGGACTTGAATGGAGTGGACTAGAATGTAATGGACAGGAACAAAATGGAATCGAACTGATTAAAATCGAACGAAACAGAATGGAATGGAACGGAATGGAATGGAATCGAATGGAATGGAATCAAATGGAATGGAATTGAATGGATATGAAACGAATAGAATGGAATGGAGTGTCATGGAAAGATATCGAATGGAAAGGAATGGAAAGGACTCAAATGGAATGGACTGGAATGAAATGGTCTCGAATGGAATAGACTGGAGTGGAATGGCCTCGAATGCAATGGAAACAAATGGAATGGAACGCAACGGAATGGAATGGAAAGGAATAGAATGGAATGGAATCAGATGGAATGGAATGGAAGGGAATGGATTTGAATGGAATAAAATCGAATGGAATGGCATCGATTGGAATGGAATGGAGTGGACTCCAATGGAATGGACTGGAATGGAATGGCATCGAATAGAATGGACTGGAGTGAAAAGGAATCGAATGGAATGGACTGGAATGGAATGGACTCGAATGGAATGGAAACAAATGGAATGGAATGGAATGGACTCGAATGGAATGGAGTCGAATGGAATGGAATCGAATGGAATCGAATCAAGTGGAAATAAGTCGAATGGAATGGACTGGAACAAAACAGAATCGAATGGATAGGAATCGATTGGAACAGGATGGAATGGGATGGAATGGAATGCAATGGAATGAAATGGAATGGAATGGAATGGATTACAATGGAATGGAGTCGAATGGAATGCAATCGAATTTAAGTGAAAGGAATAGAATGGAATGGAGTGTAAAGGAAAGATATCAAATGGAATGGAATTAAATGGAATGGACTCGAATGGAATGGACTGGAATGGAGTGCACTCAAATGGAACGGAATGGAATGGAATGGACTCTAGTGGAATGGACTGGAGAGGAATAGACTCGAATGGAATGGAAACGAATGGAATGGAATGCAAAGGAATGGAATGGAAAGGAATAGAATGGAATGGAATCGGATGGAACGGAATGTAATGGAATGGAGTCAAATGAAACAGAATCGAATGGAATGGAATTGGATGGAATGGAATGGAATGGATTGGAGTCGAATGAAATAGAATAGAATGGAATGGCATCAAATGGAATGGACTGGAATGGAATGGAAAGGACTCGAATCGAATGAACTCAAATGGAATAAAATCGAATGGAATGGCATCGAATGTAATGTAATGGAATGTCATGGAATGGAATGGACGCAAATGTAATGGACTCGAAAGGAAAGGACTCAAATAGAATGGACTCGAAAGGAATGGTCTTGAATGGAATTTATTCGAATCGAATGGAATCAGATGGATTGCCATTGTATGGTATGCAATCGAATGGAATGGAAACGAATGGAAAGGACCGGAATGGAATGGACTGAAAAGGAATGGACTCGAAAGAAATGTATTGCAATGTAATTGAATTGAATGGAATGGAATCGAATGGAATGTAATCAAATTGAATGGAATGGAATGGAATGGAATGGAATGCAATAGAATGGAATGAAATGGAACAGAATACAATGGAATGCAATGGAATGGAATGGAGTGGAATCGAGTGCAGTGCAATCAAATGGAATGAGTTCGAATGGAATGGAATCGAATGGAATGGACTCCAATGGAATAGAATAGAATGGGATGGCATCGAATGAAATGGAATGGAATGGAATGGAATGGAATGGATTGAAATGGAATGGAATGGACCCAAATGTAATGGACTCGAATGGAATGGACTCCAATAGAATGGACTCGAAATTAATGGTCTCGAATGGAATTTATTCGAATAGAACGGAATCAAATGGAATGCAATTGTATGGTATGGAATCGAATGGAATGGAAGCGAATGTAATGGACCAGAATGGATTGGACTGGAATAGAATGGACTCGAATGAAATGAATTGCAATGTGATTGATTCAAATGGAATGGAATCTAATGGAATGTAATCAAACGGAATGGAATGGAATGCAATGGAATGCAATAGAATGGAAAGCAATGGAACGGAATACAATGGAAGACAATGGAATGGAAGAGAGTGGAATCAAGTGCAATGGAATCAAAAGGAAGGGAATTGAATGAAATGAAATCGAATGGAATGGACTGGAATGGAATGGACTCTAATGGAAGGGACTGGAACACAATGGAATCGAACGGATCGGAATAGAATGGAATGGAAAGGAATGGAATGGAATGGAATGGACTCGATTGGAATGGAGTCGAATGGAATGGAATTGAATGGAGTGGATTCGAATAGAATGGAACTGAATGGAATTGATAGGAATAGAATGGAATGGAGTGTAATGGAAAGATATCAAATGGAATGGAATGGAATGGAGTGTAATGGAAAGATATCAAATGGAATGGAATGGAATGGACTCGAATGGAATTGACTGGAATGGAATGGACTCGAATGGAATGGACTGGAGTGGAATGGACTTGAATGTAATGGAAACGAATGGAATAGAATGTAATGAAATGGAAAGGAATACAATGGAACGTAATAGGATGGGACAACATGGAATGGAATGGAGTCGAATGGAAGAGAATCGATTGGAATGGCATCGAATGGAATGGAATGGAAAGGAATGAAGTGGAATGGACTCGAATGGAATGGACACGAATGGAATGGCATGGAATGGAATGGAATAGAATGTACCCAAATGTAATCAACTCAAATGGAATATACTCAAATAGAATGGACTCGAAAGGAATGATCTCAAATGGAATTTATTCGAATAGAATGGAATCGAATGGAATGCAATAGTATGGAATGGAATCAAATAGAATGGACCAGAATGGAATGGACTGGAATAGAACTGACTTCAGTGTAATGGATTGCATGGTAATTGATTCAAATGGAATGGAATTGAATGGAATGTAATCAAATGGTATGATATGGAATGCAATTGAATGGAATAGATGGAATGCAATGGAATGGAACGGAGTTGAATCAAGTGGAATGGAATCGAATGGAATGGAATCCAATGGAATGGACTGGAATGGAATGGACTCGAATGGAATGGACTGGAACAAAATGGAATAGAATGTATTGGATTCGAATGGAAAGGAATGGAATGGAATGGAAGGGATTTGAATGGAATGGAGTCGAATGGAATGGAATCGAATGGAATGGAATCAGTTGGAATGGAATTCAATGGAGTCGAAAAGAACAGAAAGGAATGGAGTGTAATGGAATGATATTGAATGGAATGGAATGTACTCGAATGGAATGGACTGGAATGAAATGTACTCTATTGAAATGGACAGGAGTGGAATGGACACAAATGGAATGGAAATGAATGGAATGGAAGGGAATGGAAAGGAATTGAATGGAATGGAATTTGATGGAACGGAATGGAATGGAATGGGGTCAAATGGAATAGAATCAAATGGAATGGCATTGAACGGAATGGAAACGAATGGAATGGAATAGCAAGGAATGGAATGGAAAGGAATATAATGGAATGGAATCGGATGGAATGGAATGGAATGGAATGGAATGGAATGGAGTCGAATGGAATAGAATCGAATGGAATTGCATCGACTGGAATGGAATGGAATGGACTCGAATGGAATGGACTCTAACGGAAGAGAATCGAATGGAATGGCGTCGAATGGAATGGAAAGGAATGGAATGGAATGGACCCAAATATAATGGACTCGAATGGAATGGAATCAAATAGAATGGACGCGAATGGAATGGTCTCGAATGTAATTTATTTGAATGGAATGGAATAGAAAGTCATTCAATATTATGGAATGGAATCGAATGAAATGGAATTGAATCATATTAACCGGAAAGGAATGTACTGGAATAGAATGGACTCGAATGTAATGGATAAAAAAGTAATTGATTTGAATGCCTTGGAATCGAATGGAATGAAATCAAATGGAATGGAAAGGAATACAATGGAATGGAATAGAATAGAATGCAAAAGAATGGAACGGAGTGGAATCGAGTGGAATGGAATCGAATGGAATGGAATGGAATCAAATGGAATGGAGTCGAAAGGAACTGAATGGAATGGACGGGAACAAAATGGAATCGAACGGATGGGAATGGAATGGAATGGACTCGAATGGAATGGAGTCAAATGGAATGGCGTCAAATGGAATGGAATTGAATGGAATGCAATCGAATCAAATGGAATTGAATAGAATCGAAAGGAAAAGAATGGAATGGAGTGTAATGGAAGGACAGCGAATGGAATGGAATGGAATGGACTCGAACAGAATGGACTGGAATGGAATGGACTCGAATGGAATGGACTGGAGTGGAATGGACTCGAATGGAATGGAAACAAACGGAATGGAATGGAATGGAAAGGAATAGAATGGAATGGAATCGGATGAAACGAAATGGAATGGAATGGAGTTGAATGTAATAGAATCCAATGGTATGGCTTCAAATGGACTGGAATGGAATGGAATGGAATGCAATGGAATGGAACGGAATGAACTCGAAAGGAATGGACTCAAAAGAAATAGAGTCGAAAGGAATGGACTCGAATGGAATGGAATGTAATAGAATGGAATGCAATGGAATGGAACGGAGTCGAATCGAGTGGAATGGAACCGAATGGAATGGATTATAATGGAATAGATACGATTGGAAAGGACTGGAATGGAATGGATTCGAATGGAATGGACTGGAACAAAATGGAATTAAACGGATTGGAATCGAATGGTACGGAATAGAATGTAATGGAATGGAATGGACTCGAATGGAATGGAGTCGAATGTAAAAGACTCTAATGGAATGGACTGGAATGGAATGGATGGACTGGAATGGAATGGAAAGGAATAGAATAGAATGGAATCGGTTGGAACAGAATGGAGTGGAATGGAGTCAAATAGAATAGAATCGAATGCAATGGCATCTAATGGAATGGAATGGAAGGGACTCGAATGGAATGGACTCGAATGCATAGAATCAAAAGGAATGGCAACGAATTGCATCGAATGGAATGGACCCAAATGTAATGGACTTGAATGGAATTGACTCAAATAGAATGGACTCGAAAGCAATGGTCTAGAATAGTATTTACTTGAATAGAATGGAATCGAGTGGAATGAAATAGTATGGAATGGAATCGAGTGGAATGTAATCTTATGAAATTGACCGGAATGGAATGGACAGGAATAGAATGGACTCGAATGTAATGGATTGCAATGTAATTGATTTGAATGGATTGGAATCGAACGGAGCATAATCCAATGGAATGGAATGGAAAGCAATGGAATGGAATAGAATGGAATGCAATGGAATGGAATGGAGTGGAATCGAGTGGAATGGAATCGTGTGGAATGGACTGGAATGGAATGGCCTCGAATCGAATGGAATGGAATAAAATGGAATCGAATGGATTGGAATTGAATGGAATGGAATGGAATGGAATGGGATGACACGAATGGATTGGAGTTAAATGGAATGGAATCGAATGGAATGAGATTGAACGGAATGGAATTGAATGGAATCTAAATGAATGGAATGGAATGGATTGTAATGGAAAGTTATCAAATGGAATGGAATGGAATGGAATGGACTCGAAAGGAATGGACTCGAATGGAATGGACTGGAGTGGAATAGACTCGAATGGAATTGACCGGAGTGGAATGGGCTCGAATGGAATGGAAACGAATGGAATGGAATGGAATGGAAAGGAATAGAATGGAATGGAATCGCACGGAATGGAATGGAATGGAGTCGAATGGAATAGAAAAGAATGGAATGGCATTGAATGGAATGGAATGGAATGGAATGCAATGGAATGGAATCGAATAGAAAGAAATAGTATAGAATGGAATAGAATGGAAAGGAATCAAATGGAATGGAACGGAATGGAATGGACTGGAATAGAAAGGACTCGAATGTAATGGATTGCAATGTATTTGATTCGAATGGAATGGAATCCAAAGGAATGTAATCAAATATAATGAAATGGAATAGAAAGGAATGCAATGGAATGGAATGGAGTGGAATCGAGTGGAATGGAATCGAATGGAATGGAATTGAATGGAATGGACTGGAATGGAAAGGACTTGAATTGAATGGATTGGAAAAAAAATGGAATTGAAAGGATTGGAATCGAACGGAACGGAAGGGAAGGGAATTTAATGGAATGGACTCGAATGGAATGGATTGGAAAAAAATGGAACTGAAAGGATTGGAATCGAACGGAACAGAAGGGAAGGGAATTTAATGGAATGGACTCGAATGGAATGGAGTCGAATGAAATGGAATCAAATGGAATGGAATTGAATGGAATCGAAAGGAATAGAATGGAACGGAGTGTAATAGAAAGAAATCGAATGGAATGGAATGGAATAGAATGGAATGGATTGGAATGGAATGAACTCGAATGGAACGGAGTGGAGTGGAATGGACTCGATTGGAATGGAAACAAATGGAATGGACCGGAATGGAATGTATTGGAATAGAATGGACTCCAATGTAATGGATTGTAATATAATTGATTTGAATGGAATGGAATTGAATGGAATGTAATCAAATGGAATGGAATGGTATGCAATGTAATGGAATAGAATGGAATGCAATGGAAAGGAAGGGAGGGGAATGTAGTGGAATGGAATTTAATGGAAAGGAATCGAATTGAATGGACTGGAATTGAATGGACTCGAATGGAATGGACAGGAAAAAAATGGAATCGAACGGATTGGAATCAAACGGAATGGAATGGGATGGACTCGCATGGAATGGAGTCGAATGAAATAGAAAAGAATGGAATGGAATCGAATGGAATGGAATTGAATGGAATCGAAAGGAATAGAATGGAATGGAGTTTAATGGAATGGAATAGAATGGAATGGAGTGCAAAGGAAAGATATTGAATGGAATGGAATGGACCCGAATGGAATGGACTGGAATGGAATGGACTGGAGTGGAATGGACTCGAATGGAATGGAATGGAATGGAATGGAAAGGAATAGAATGGAATGGAATCGGATGCAATGAAATGGAATGGAATGGAGTCGAATGGAATAGAATTGAATGGAATGGCATTGAATGGACTGGAATGGCATGGAAAGGAATGGACTCGAATGGAATGGACTTGAATGGAATAGAATAGAATGGAATGACATCGAATGGAAAGGAATGGAATGGAATGAAATGGAATGGACCCAAATGTAATGGACTCGAAAGGAATGGACTCAAATAGAATGGACTCGAAAGGTATGGGCTCGAACGAATTTATTCGATTAGAATGGAATCGAATGGAATGCAATTGTATGAAATGGAATTAAAGAGAAACTAATCGAATGGAACAGACATGAATGGAATGGACTGGAATAGAACGGACCCAAATGTAATGGATTACAATGTAATTGATATGAATGGAATGGAATCGGTTGGTATGTAATCAAATGGAATGGAATGTAATGCAATGGAATGGAATAGAATGGAATGGAATCGAATGGAACGGAGGGGAATCAAGCGGAATGGAATCGAATTAAATGGAATCCAATGGAATGGAATCGAATGTAGTGGACTCGAATGGAATGGAATGGAAAAAAATGGAATCAAACAGATTGGAATCTAACGGAACGGAATGGAAT
The DNA here is from genome assembly GCF_000001405.40 of Homo sapiens. Taxonomy (NCBI): domain Eukaryota; kingdom Metazoa; phylum Chordata; class Mammalia; order Primates; family Hominidae; genus Homo; species Homo sapiens. The sequence goes on from NC_000017.11 coordinate 26,870,717, forward strand.
GGAATGGAATGGAATGGAATGGAGTCGAACGGAATTGAAAGGAATGGAATCTAATGGAATGGAGTCGAATGGAATAGAATTGAATGGAATGGAACGGAATGGAATAGACTCGAATGGAATGGATTTGAATGGAATAGAATCGAATGGAATGGTATCGAATGGAATGGAATGGAATGCAATGGAATGGAATGGACCCAAATGTAATGGACTCAAATGGAATGGACTCAAATAGAACGGAATTTAAAGGAATGTTCTCGAATGGAACTTATTCAAATAGAAAGGAATCGAATGGAATGCAATAGTATGGAATGGAATCGAATGGAATGGAATTGAATGGAATGGACCGGAATGGAATGGAATGTAATAGAAAGGACTCGAATGTAATGGATTGCAATGTAATTGATTCGAATGGAATGGAATCAAATGGAATGGAATCGAATGGAATGGACTGGAATGGAAATGACTGGAATAGAACGTACACGAATGGAATGGATTGCAATGTAATTGATTCGAATGGAATGGAATTGAATGGAATCTAATACAATGGAATGGAAGGGAATGCAAGGGAATGGAATAGAATGGAATGCAATGGAACGGAACGGAGTGGAATTGAGTGGAATGGAATCGAATGGAATGGACTGTAATGGAGTGGAATCGAATGGAACGGAATGGAATGGAATGGAATGGACTTGAACAGAATGGAGTCAAATGAAATGGAATCGAATGGAAAGGAATCAAATGGAATGGAAATGAATGGAAACAAAAGGAATAGACTGGAATGGAGTGTAATGGAAAGATATTGAATGGAATGGAATGGAATGGACTCGAATGGGATGGACTGGAATGGAATGGACTCGAATGGAATGGACTGGAGTGGAATTTACTCGAATGAAATGGAAAAGAACGGAATGGAATGGAATGGAATGGAAAGGAATAGAATGGAATGGAGTCAGATGGAATGGAATGGAAGGGAATGGAGTAGAATGGAATAGAATAGAAAGTAATGGCTTCGAATGGAATGGAATGGAATGGACTCAAACGGAATGGAATCGAATGGAATGGCATCAAATGGAATGGAATGGAATGGACCCAAATATAATGGATTCGAATATAATGGAATTTAATGGAATGGACTTGAAAGCAATGGTCTCAAATGGAATTCATTCAAATAGAATGGAAACTAATGTAATCCAATAGTATTGAATGGAATCAAATGGAACTGAATCGAATGGAATGGACCAGAATGGAATGGACTGGAATAGAAGGGACTCGAATGCAATGGATTTGAATGTAATTGATTCAAACGGAATGGAATTGAATGAAATGTAATCAAATGGAATGGAATGGAATGCAATGGAATGGAAGAGATTGGAATGCAATGAAATGGAAGAGAGTGGAATCGAGTGGAATGGAATAGAATGGAATGGAATCGAATGGAATGGAATCAAATGGAATGGACTGGAATGGAATGGAATCGAAAGGAATGGACTTGAACAAAATGGAATGGAATTGATTGGAATCTAATGGAACGGAATGGAATGGAATGGAATTTAATGGACTCAAAAGGAATGGAGTCGAATGGAATGGAATTGAATGGAATGGAATAGAATGGCATGGAATTGAATGGAATTGCAAGGAATAGAATGGAATGGAGTGTGCTGGAAAGATACTGAATGGAATGGAATGGAATGGAATGGACTCGAATTAAATGGACTGGAATGGAATGGAATTGAATGGATTGGAATGGAGTGGAATGGACTCTAATGGAATGGAAAAGAAAGGAATGGAATGGAATAGAATGGAATGGAATGGAAAGAATAGAATGGAATGGTTTCGGATGGAATGGAATGGAATGGAATGGGGTCTAATGGAATAGAACTGAATGGAATGGCATTGAATGGAATGGAATCAAAAGGAATTTACTCAAATGGAATAGAATTGAATGGAATGTCATCGAATGGAATGGAATGAAATGAAATGGAATGGAGTGGAAAGGACCCAAATGTAATGGACTCAAATGGAATGGACTCAAATAGAATGGACTCAAACTGAATGGACTCAAAAGGAATGGTCTCAATTGGAATTTATTAGAATAGAATGGAATTGAACGGATTGCAATAGTATGGAATGGAATCGATAGGAATGGAATCGAATGGATTGGACCAGAATGGAATGGACTTTAACAGAGTGGACTCGAATGTAATGGATTACAATGTAATTGATTTGAATGGAATGGAATCGTATGGAATGTTATCAAATGGAATGGAATGGAATGCAATGGAATGGAATAGAATGGAATGCAATGGAATGGAATGGAGTGGAATAGAGTGGAATGGAATCGTGTGGAATGGACTGGAAGGGAATGGAATCGAATGGAATGGACTGGAACAAAATGGAATCAAACGGATTGGAATGGAATGGAATGGAATGGAATGGACTCGAATGGAAGGGGGTCAAATGGAATGGAATCAAACGGAATGGAATCGAATGTAATGGAATTGAATGAAATCGAAAGGAATAGAATGGAATGGAGTTTAATGGAAAGGTATTGAATGCAATGTTATGGAATTGAATGGACTCGAATGGAATGGACTGGAATGGAATGGAATCGAATGGAATGGACTCAAATTGAATGGAAACGAATGGAATAGAATGGAATGGAATGCAATGGAATAGAAAGGAATAGAATGGAATGGATTTGGATGGAAAGGAATGGAATGGAATTGAGACGAATGGAATATAATAGAATGGAATAGATTCGAATGGAATGGCATCGAATGGAATGGAATGGAATGGAATGGAATGGAATGGAATGGAATGGACCGAAATGTAATGGACTCGAATGGAATGGACTCAAATAGAATGGACTTGAAAGGAATGGTCTCGAATGGAATTGACCCGAATAGAAGGGAATCGAATGGAGTGCAATAGTATGGAATGAAATCGAATGGAATGGAATTGAATGGAATGGACCGCAATGCAATGGACTGTAATAGAATGGACTCGAATGTAATGGATTGCAATGTAATTGAGTCGAATGGAATGGAATCGCATGGAATGCAATCAAATTGAATGGAATGGAATGCAATGGAATGGAATAGATTGGAATGCAATAGAATGGAATGGAGTGGAATCGAGTTAAATGGAATCGAATGGCATGGAATCGAATGTAACGGACTGGAATGAAATGGAATCGAATGGAATGGACTGGAAAAAAATAGAATCAAACGGATTGGAATCGAATGGAACAGAATGGAATGGAATGGAATGGACTCGATTGCAATGGAGTCGAATGGAATGGAATTGAATGGAAAAGAATTGAATGGAATCGAAAGGAATAGAATGGAATGGAGTATAATGGAAAGAAATCGAATGGAATGGAATGGAATAAACTCGAATGGAATGAACTAGAATGGATTATAATAGAAACATATAGAATGGAATGGAGTAGACTCGAATGGAATGAACTGGAATGGAATGGACTCGAATGGAATGGATGGGAGTGGAATGGAATCGAATGTAATGGAAACGAATGGAATGCAATGGAATGAAATGGAATGGAAAGGTATAGAATGGAATGGAATCTGATGGAATGGAATGGAATGAAATGGAGTCGAATGGAATAGAGTCGAATGGAATGGAATCGAATGGAATGGAATGGAACAGAATGGAATGGACCCAAATGTAATGGACTCGAATGGAATGGACTCAAACACAATGGACTCGTTAGGGATGGTCTCGAATGGAATTTACTCGAATAGAATGGAATCGAATGGAATGCAATAGTATGGAATTTAATCGAATGAAATGGAAACAAATGGAATGGTCCGGAATGGAATAGACTGGAATAGAATGGACGCCAATGTAATGGATTGCAATGTAATTGTTTCAAATGGAATGGATTCGAATGGAATATAATCTAATGGAATGGAATGGAATGCAATGGAATTGAATAAAATGGAATGGACTCGAACAAAATGGAATAGAATGGATTGGAATCGAATGGAACAGAATGGAATGGAATGGAATGGAAAGAACCCGAATTGAATAGAGTCGAATGGAATGGAATCAAATGGAATGGAATCGAAGGGAATGGAATTGGATGGAATCAAAAGGAATAGAATGGAATGGAGTATAATGGAAAGACATCGAATGGAACAGAATGGAATGGAATGGACTCGAGTGGAATGGGCTGGAATGGCATGGACTCGAATGGAATGGACAGGAGTGGAATGGACTCAAAAGCAATGGAAACGAATGGAATGGAATGGAATGGAAAGGAATAGAATGGAATGGAATTGGATGGAACGGAATGGAATGGAGTCAAATGGAATAGAATCAAATGGAATGGCATTGAATGGAATGGAATGGATTGTAATGGAATAGAATGGAATGGACTCGAATGGAAGATAATCGAATGTAATGGCAACGAATGGAATGGAATGGAATGGACCCAAATGTAATGGACTCGAATGGAATGGACTCAGATAGAATTGACTCAAAATGAATGGTCTCCAATGGAATTCATTCAAATAGAATGGAATCGAATATAATGCAATAGTATGGAATGGAATCGAATGTAATGGAATTGAAAGGAATGGACAGGAATGGAATGGATTGGAATAGAATGGACTCGAATGTAATGGATTGCAATGCTATTAATTTGAATGGAATGGAATCGAATGGAATGGTATGCAATTTAATGGAATAGAATGGAATGCAATGGAATGGAGTGGAATTGAGTTGAATGGAATTGAATGGAGTGGAATCGAATGGATTGGACTGGAATGGAACGGACTCGAATGGAATGGACTGGAACAAAATGGAATGGAACGGATTGGAGTCTAATTGAACGGAATGGAATTTAATGGTATGGAATGGAAAGGACTCGAATGGAATGGAGTCAAATGGAATGGAACCGAATGGAATCGAATGGAATGTAATCAAATGGAAAGGAATGGAAGGCAATGGAGTGGAATAATATGGAATGCAATGGAATGGAATGGAGTGGAATCGAGTGGAATTGAATTGAATGGAATGGAATCGAATGTAATGGACTCAAATGGAATGGACTTGGGAAAAAAATGGAATCAAACGGATTGGAATTGAACAGAACAGAATAAAATGGAATGGACTCGAATGCAATGGAGTTGAATGGAATGGAATTGAAAGGTATGGAATCGAATGCAATGGAATTGGGTGGAATGGAATTGAATGGAATGGAGGGCAATGGAAAGATATCGAATGGAATGGAATGGAATGGACGCGAATGGAATGGACTGGAATGGAATGGGCTTGAATGGAATTGACTGGAGTGGAATGGACTTGAATAGAATGGACTGGAGTGGAATGGACTCGAATGGAATGGAATGGACATGAATATAATGGAATGGAATCAGATGGAACGGAATGGAACGGAATGCAGTTGAATGGAATAGAATCGAATGGAATGGCATCAAATGGAATGGAGTGGAATGGAATGGAATGGAATGGAATGGAATGGAATGGAATGGACTCGAAAGGAATGGATTCTCACGGAATATAGTTGAATGGAATGGCATTGAATGGAATGGAATGGAATGCCATGGAATGGAATGGACCCAAATGTAGTGGACACAAATTGAATGGATTCAAATAGAACGGACTCGCAAGGAGTGGGCTCGAATGGAATTCATTCGAGTAGAATCGAATTGAAGGGAATGCAATAGTATTGAATGGAATCAAATGGAATGGAATCAAATGGAATGGACCAGAATGGAATGGACTGGAATAGAGTGGATACAAATGTAATGGATTGCAATGTAATAGATTCGAATGGAATGGAATAGAATGGATTCTAATCAAATGGAATGGAATATAATGAATGGAAGGGAATAGAATGGAATGCAATGGAATGGAACAGAGTGGTATCGAGAGGACTGGAATCCAATGGAATGGAATCAAATGGAATGGAATCGAATGGAATGGACTGTAATGGACTCGAATGGGATGGACTGGAACAAAATGGAATTGAATGGATTGGAA
>NC_000017.11:26876850-26880254 GCF_000001405.40 Homo sapiens
ACTGGAATGGAATGGACTTGAATGGAATGCACTGGAGTGGAATGGACTCGAATGTAATGGATACGAATAGAATATAATTGAATGGAAAGAATAGAATGGAATGCAATCAGATGGAACGGAATGGAATAGAATGGAGTAGAATGGAATAGAATCGATTGGAATGGCACCGAATGGAATGGAATCTAATGGAATGGACTCGAATGGTATGGACTAGAATGGAATAGAATCGAATAGAATGGCATCAAATGGAATGGAATGGAATGGAATGGAATGGAATGGAATGGAAACTAATGGAATGGACTCGAATGGAATAGAATACAATGGAATGGCATCGAGTGGAATGGAATTGAATAGAATGGACACAAATAAAATTGACTCGAATGGCATGGACTCAAATAAAATGGACTCGAAAGGAATTGTCTCAAATGGAATTTATTCAAATAGAATGGAATCGAATGGAATGCAATAGTATGGAATGGAATCGAATGGAATGGACTGGAGTGGAATGGACTGGAATAGAACGGACTCGAATGTAATGGATTGCAATGTAATTGATTCGAATGGAATGGAATCGAATGGAATGTAATAAAATGGAATGGAATTGAATGCAATGGAATGGAATAGAACGGAATGCAGGGGAATTGAATGCAGAGGAATCCAGTGGAATTGAATGGAAAGGAATGGAATCGAATGGAATGAAATCGAATGGAATGGACTCGAATGGAAGGGAATGGAAAAAAATGAAATCAAACGGATTGGAATCGAATGGAACAGAATGGAATGGAAAGGAATGGACTCAAATGGAATGTAGACGAATGGAATGGAACCGAAAGGAATGGAATAGAATAGAATGGAATTGAATGGAATTGAAAGGAATAGAATGGAATGGAGTGTAATGGAATGATATCGAATGGAATGGAATTGAATGGAATGGAATGGAATGGAATGGAATGGAATGGAATGGACTCAAATGAAATGGACTCGAATGGAATGGACTGGAGTGGAATGACTCTAATGGAATGGAAATGAATGATATGGAATGGAATGGAATGGAAAGGAATAGAAGGGAATGGAATCAGATGGAACGGAATGGAATCGAAGGGAGTCGAATGAAATTGAATCGAATGCAATGGCATCGAATGGAATGGAATGGACTCGAATAGAATAGAATCGAATGGAGTGACATTGAATGGAATGGAATGGAATGGAATGGGATTGAAAGGAATGCACCGAAATGTAATGGACTCTAATGGAATGGACTGAAATAGAATGGACTCAAAAGGGATGGTCTCGAATGGAATTTATTCGAATAGAATGGAATCGAATGGAATGCAATATTGAGGAATGGAATAGAATGGAATCGAATGGATTGGAATGGAATGGAATGCGGTGAAGTGGAGTGGAGTGGAGTGGAATGAGATGGAATGGAATTGAATGGAGTGGAGCACAGTGGAGTGGAATGGAGTGGATTGGAATGGAATGGGAAGGAATGAAACTGAAGGGTGTGCAGTGCAGTGGACTGCATTGGAGTGGAATGCAGTGGAGAGGAATGGAATGGAGTGGAATTGAATCGAATCGAACTGAATCGAATGGAATCAAATGGAAAAAATGGAATTGCATGGAATCAAATGGAATCGAATTGAATGGAATCGAAAGGCATCAAATGGAATTGAATGGAATGCGGTGAAGTGGAGTGGAGTGGAATAGAGAGGAATTGAATGGGGTGGAAGGGAATTGAGTGGAGTGGAGTGGAATAGAGTGGAATGGAATGGGGTGGAATGGAATTGAGTGGAGTGGAGTGGAATGGAGTGGAATGGAATGGACTGGGAAGGAATTGAATTTAATGTAGTGGAGTAGAGTGGAGTGGAAGGGAATGCAATGGAATGGATTGGAATGGTGAAATGAAATGTGAGCGGAGATTGTGAACTGAACTCCAGCCAGGGTGACAGAGTGAGGAACTGTCCAAAGAAAGGAATGGAATGGAATGGATTCAGAATGAAATGTAAGGGAATGGAGGGGAGTTTAGTGGATTGGCGTGGAGTGGAGTGGAGTGGAGTGGAATGGAGTGGAACGGAATGGGAAGAAATGGAATTCAAGAGAGCGGAGAGGAGTGGATTGGAGTGGAGTGGAGTGAGGCGGAGCGGAGAGGAGTGGAATGGAATGGAATAGAATCGAATGGAATCAAATCAAATTGAATCAAATCGAATTGAATTGAATGGATTGGAATCAAATGGAATCAAATGGAATCGAATGGAATCAAATGGAATCGAATGGAATCAAGTGGAATGCAAAGGAATCGATTGGAATGGAATCGAATCGCATTGAATGGAATCAAATGGAATGCGGTGAAGTGGAGTAGAGTGTAGTGGAATGCAGTGGAATGGAATGGGGTGGAATGGAATTGAATGGAGTGGAGTGGAGTGGAATGGAGTGGAGTGGAATGGAATGGGAAAGAATGGAATTGAATGGAGTGGAGTAGAGTGGAGTGGAATGGAATGCAATGGATTGGAATGGAATGGAATGGTGAAATGAAATGTGAGCTGAGATTGTCCAATGCACTCCAGCTTGGGTGACAGAGTGAGATCCTGACGAAAAAAAGGAATGGTATAGAGTGGATTTAGAATGGAATGTAATGGAATGGAGTGGAGTGGAGTGGAGTGGATTGGAGTGGAATGAAATGGAGTGGTATGGATTGTTATGGAATGGAATGGATTGGAGTGGAGTGGAGTGGGGTGGAGTGGAGTGGAGTGGAATGGAGTGGAATGGAATGGGATGGAACAAAATGGAGTAGTGTAGAGAGGATAGGTGTAGAATGGAATGGAAAGGAATGGAGTTTAGTGGAGTGGAGTTGGGTGGAGTGGAATCAAATGGAGTGGAATGGAGTGGAGTGGAATGGAGTGGAGTGGAATGTAGTGGAATGGAGTGGAGTGGAGTGAAGTGGAATGGAAAGGAGTAGACTGGAATGGATTGGAGTGAAGTGGAATGGACTGGGGTGGAGTGGAATTGACTGGAGTGGGAAAAAATGGAATGGAGTGGAATGGAATAGAGTGGAGAGTAATGGAATGGAGTGGAATGTAGTGGAGTGGAGTAGTATGGAGTGCAAAGGAATGGAATGGAGTGGAGAGGAATGGAGTGGCAGGGAGTGGAGTGGAATGGAGTGGAGTGGAGTGGAGTGGAGTGGACTGAAGTGGAGTGCAATGGAGTGGAATGGAATGGAATGGGAAAAATGGAATTGAATGGAGTGGAGTGGAATGCAACGCAACGGAATGGAATGGTGAAATAAAATGTGAGCTGAGATTGTGCACTGCACTCCAGCCTCAGTGACAGAGTGAGATCCTGCTGAAAGAAAGGAATGGAATGGAATGGATTTAGAATGCAATGTAATGGAATGGAATGGAGAGGAG
>NC_000017.11:26880354-26885980 GCF_000001405.40 Homo sapiens
TAATTCCCTTTCCACCACAGGCCTCAAAGCCCTCCAAATATCCACTTGCAGATTCTAGAGAAAGAGTGTTTCAAAGCTTGTCTCTCAAAAGGAATGTTCAACTCTGTGAGTTGAATGCAAACATCACAAAGGAGTTTCTGAGAATGCTTCTGTTTAGCTTTTCTGTGAAGATTATCCCGTTTCCAACGATATCTTCAAAGAGGTCCAAATATCCACTTGCAGATTCCACAGAAGGCGTGCTTGGAAACTGCTGGTTGAAAAGGAACCTTCAACTCTGTGAGTTGAATGCAACCATCACAAACAAGTTCCTGACAATGCTTCTCTCTAGTGTCTATGTGACGATAATTCATTTTCCAACACAGGCCTGAAAGCTCTCCAAATGTCCACTTGCAGACAGTCCGAAAAGCATGTTTCAGAACTGCTCTATGAAAAGCAATGTGAAACTCTGTGAGGTGAACGCAAACATGAGAGAGAAGTTTCTGAGAATGCTTCTGTTTAATTTTTATGTGAAGATATTCCCGTTTCCAAAGACATCTTCAAAGAGGTCCACATATCCACTTGCAGATTCCACAAAAAGAGAGATTCAGAACTGCTATATCTATAGGAGGGTTCAACTCTGTGAGTTGAATGCAATCATCAAAGAGAAGTTTCTGAGAAGGCTTCTGTCTAGATGTTATGTGAAGATGTACCCGTTTCGAACGAAGGCCACAGAGTGGTCCAAATATCCACTTGCAGATCGTACAGAAAGAGTGTTTCAAACCTGAACTATCAAAGGAAAGTGCAACTCTTTGATCTGAATGCAAACATCACAAAGAAGTTTCTGAGAATGCTTCTGTTTAGTTAGGTGCATTTATACCGTTTCCAAAGAAATCCTCAGAAAGGGCCAAATATCCACTTGCAGATTCTACAAAAAGTGTGTTTCACACCTGCTCCATCCAAAGGAATGTTCAGCTCTGTGAGTTAAACTCAATCATCACAAAGTATTTTCTGAGAATGCTTCTGTCTAGTTTTTCTATGAAGCTATTCCCTTTACTACCATAGACCTCAAAGCGCTCCAAATCTCCACTTGCACATTCCACAACAAGAGTGTTTCCAAACTGCTCTCTCAATAGGAATGTTCAACTCTGTGAGGTGAATGCAATCATCACAAAGTAGTTTCTGAGAATGCTTCTATCTAGTATTTATGTGAAGATATTTCCTTTTCCATCCCAAACCTCAAAGCCCTCCAAATATCCACTTGCAGATTCAAGAAAAAGAGTGTTTCATAGCTGCTCTTTCCGAAGGAAAGTTCAAATCTGGAATTTGAATACAAACAGCACCAAGGAGTTCCTGAGAATGCTTCCTTGTAATTTTTATGTGAAGATGATTCTGTTTCCAACGAAACCTTCAAAGAGGTCTACATATCCCCTTGCAGATTCCACAGAAAGAGAGTTTGAAAACCGTGCTCTCAAAAGGAGTGTTCAACCCTGTGAGTTGAATGCAGTCATCACAGAAAAGTTTCTGAGAATGCTTCTGTCTAGGTGTTATGTGAAGATATACCCATTTCGAACGAAGGCCACAGATTGGTCCAAATATCCACTTGTAGATCCTGCGAAAAGAGGGTTTCAAACCTGAACTTTCCAAGGAAGGTGCAACTCTGGGATTTGAATGCAAACATCACAAAGAAGATTCTGAGACTGCTTCTGTTTAGTTAGATGAAATTACCAAGTTTCCAACGAATACCTCAGACAGCTCCAAATATCCACTTGCAGATTCTACAGAAAGTGTGTTTCGAAACTACTCCACCCCAAGGAAAGTACAGCTCTGTGAGTTCAACTCTATCATCCCAGAGGATTTTCTGAGAAAGCTTCTGTCTTGTTTATATATGAAGTTATTTCCTTTACTACGATAGGCCTCAAAGAAGTGCAATTATCCACTTACAGTTTCTACAAAAAGATTGTTTCAAACCTGAACTATCAAAGAAAGGTTCAACACTGTGAGTTGAATGCAAACATCACGAAGAAGGTTCTGAGAATACTTCTGTTTAGTTCTGTGTGGTTTATCCCGTTTCTAACGAAATCCTCAGAGAGGCCCAAATATCCAGTTGCGGATTCTACAAAGAGTGTGTTTCGAACCTGCTCCATCCAAAGGAATTTTCAGCCCTGTGAGTTAAACTCAGTCATCACAAAGAGTTTTCTGAGAATGCTACTGTCTAGTTTTTATATGAAGCTATTTCCTTTACTACCATAGGCCTCAAAGTGGTCCATAGCTCCACTTGCAGATTCTACACAACGAGAGTTTCCAAAGTGCTCTGTTAAAGTGAATGTTCAACTCTGTGACTTGAATGTAATCATCACAAAGTAGTTTCTGAGAATGCTTCTATCTAGTTTTTACGGGAAGATAATTCCCTTTCCACCACAGGCCTCAAAGCCCTCCAAATATCCACTTGCAGAGTCTAGAGAAAGAATGTTTCACAGCTTCTCTCTCAACAGGAAAGTTCAACTCTGTGAGTTGAATGCAAACATCACAAAGAAGTTTCTGAGAATGCTTCTGTTTAGCTTTTCTGTGAAGATTATCCCGTTTCCAACGACATCTTCAAAGAGGTCCAAATATCCACTTGCAGATTCCACAGAAAGAGTGTTTGGAAACTGCTGTTTGAAAAGGAACCTTCAACTCTGTGAGTTGAATGCAATCATCACAAACAAGTTTCTGAGAATGCTTCTCTCTAGTTTTTATGTGACGATAATTCGTTTTCCAACACAGGCCTGAAAGCTCTCCAAATATCCACTTGCAGACACTCCGAAAGCATGTTTCAGAACTGCTCTATGAAAAGCAATGTGAAACTCTGTGAGTTGAACGCAAACATCAGAGAGAAGTTTCTGAGAATGCTTCTGTTTAGTTTTTATGTGAAGATATTCCCGTTTCCAAAGACTTCTTCAAAGAGGTCCACATATCCACTTGCAGATTCCACAAAAAGAGAGATTCAAAACTGCTCTATCCATAGGAGGGTTCAACTCTGTGAGTTGAATGCAATCATCACAGAGAACTTTCTGAGAAGGCTCCTGTCTAGAAGTTATGTGAAGATGTACCCGTTTCAAAAGAAGACCACAGGGTGGTCCAAATATCCACTTGCAGATCGTACAGAAAGAGTGTTTCAAACCTGAACTATCAAAGGAAGGTTCAACTCTGGGATTTGAATGCAAACATCACAAAGAAGTTTCTGAGAATGCTTCTGTTTAGGTAGGTGCCGTTATCCCGTTTCCAACGAAATCCTCAGAGAGGTCCAAATATCCACTTGCAGATTCCACAAAAAGTGTGTTTCCAAACTACTCTCTCAATAGGAATGTTCAACTCTGTGAGGTGAATGCAATCATCACAAATTAGTTTCTGAGAATGCTTCTAACTAGTATTTATGTGAAGATATTTCCTTTTCCACCACAAACTTCAAAGGCCTCCAAATATCCACTTGCAGATCCTAGAAAAAGAGTGTTTCATAGCTGCTCTTTCCGAAGGAAAGTTCGACTCTGGAAGTTGAATACAAACAGCACCGAGGAGTTCCTGAGAATGCTTCCGTGTAATTTTTGTGTGAAGATGATTCTGTTTCAAACGAAACCTTCAAAGAGGTCTACATGTCCCCTTGCAGATTCCACAGAAAGAGAGTTTCAAAACTGCGCTCTCAAAAGGAGTGTTCAACTCTGTGAGTTGAATGCAGTCATCACAGAAAAGTTTCTGAGAAGGCTTCTGTCTAGATGTTATGTGAAGATATACCCGTTTCGAACGAAGGCCACAGAGTGGTCCAAATATCCACTTGTAGGTCCTGGAAAAAGAGGGTTTCAAAACTGAACTTTCCAAGGAAGGTGCAACTCTGGGATTTGAATGCAAACATCACAAAGAAGATTCTGAGACTGCTTCTGTTTAGTTAGCTGAAATTATCCCGTTTCCAACGAATTCCTCAGACAGGTCCAAATATCCACTTGCAGATTCTACATAAAGTGTGTTTCGAAACTACTCCATCCCAAGGAAAGTACAGCTCTGTGAGTTCAACTCAATCATCCCAGAGGATTTTCTGAGAAAGCTTCTGTCTTGTTTTTAGATGAAGTTATTTCCTTTACTAGCATAGGCCTCAAAGAAGTGCAATTATCCACTTGAAGTTTGAACAAAAAGAGTGTTTCAAACCTGAACTATCAAAGAAAGGTTCAACACTGTGAGTTGAAGGCAAACATCACGAAGAAGATTCTGGGAATGCTTCTATTTATTTCTGTGCGGTTTATCCCGTTTCCAACGAAATCCTCAGAGAGGCCCAAATATCCACTTGCAGATTCTACAAAGAGTGTGTTTCGAAACTTCTCCATCCAAAGGAATGTTGAGCCCTGTGAGTTAAACTCAGTCGCCACAAAGGGTTTTCTGAGAATGCTACTGTCTAGTTTTTACATGAAGCTATTTCCTTTATTACCATAGGCCTCAAAGCGGTCCATATCTCCACTAGCAGACTCTACACAACGAGAGTTTCCAAAGTGCTCTGTCAAAGGGAATGTTCAACTCTGTGACTTGAATGCAATCATCACAAAGTAGTTTCCGAGAATGCTTCCATCTAGTTTTTACGGGAAGATAATTCCCTTTCCACCACAGGCCTCAAATCCCTCCAAATATCCACTTGCAGATTCTAGAGAAAGAGTGTTTCAAAGCTTGTCTCTCAAAAGGAAAGTTCAACTCTGTGAGTTGAATGCAAACATTACAAAGAAGTTTCTGAGAATGCCTCTGTTTAGCTTTTCTGTGAACATTATCCCGTTTCCAACGACATCTTCAAAGAGGTCCAAATATCCACTTGCAGATTCCACAGAAAGAGTGTTTGGAAAGTGCTGTTTATAAAGGAAACTTCAACTCTGTGAGTTGAATGCTATCATCACGAAGATGTTTCTGACAATGCTTCTCTCCAGTTTTTATGTGACCATAATTCGTTTTCCACCACAGGCCTGAAAGCGCTCCAAATGTCCACTTGCAGACACTATGAAAAGCATGTTTCAGAACTACTCTATGAGAAGCAATGTGAAACTCTGGGAGTTGAACACAAACATCACAGAGAAGTTTCTGAGAATGCTTCTGTTTAGTTTTTATGTGAAGATATTCCCGTTTCCAAAGACATCTTCGGAGGGGTCCACATATCCACTTGCAGATTCCACAAAAAGAGAGTTTCAACACTGCTCTATCCATAGGAGGTTTCAACTCTGTGAGTTGAATGCAATCATCACAGAGAAGTTTCTCAGAAGGCTTCTCTCTAGATTTTATGTGAAGATGTACCCGTTTCAAACGAAGGCCACAGAGTGGTCCAAATATCCACTTGCAGATTCTGCAACAAGAGTGTTTACGAACTGCTCTATCAATAGGAATGTTCAACTCTGTTAGGTGAATGCAATCATCACAAAGCAGTTTCTGAGAATGCTTCTATCTAGTATTTAGGTGAAGATATTTCCTTTTCCACCACAAACCACAAAGCCCTCCAAACGTCCACTTGCAGATTCTAGAAAAAGAGTGTTTCATAGCTGCTCTTTCCAAAGGAAAGTTCAACTCTGGGAGTTGAATACAAACATCACCAAAATGTTCCTGAGAATGCATCTGTATAGTTTTTATGTGAAGATGATTCCGTTTC